>NC_000002.12:194459314-194762345 GCF_000001405.40 Homo sapiens | reverse complement strand
GGAGGCTGAGGCGGGCAAAGCACAAGGTCAGGAGATCGAGACCATCCTGGCTAACACAGTGAAACCCCGTCTCTACTAAAAATACAAAAAATTAGCTGGGCGTGGTGTTGAGTGCCTGTAGTTCTAGCTACTTGGTAGGCTGAGTCAGGAGAATGGCATGAACTCAGGAGGCGGAGATTGCAGTGACCAGAGATCACACCATTGCACTCCAGCCTGGGCAACAGTGCAAGACTCTGTCTCAAATAAATAAATAAATAAATAAATAAATAAATAAATAAATAAGTGGTCACAACCTGCCTGCCATATTAATAAACGGTTCTTTGTCAGTCCTATTTTTTCCTGGATGCCAGTCAGCATGATTTTAGCAATACTTTTTATCTTAAGATAATTTCTTTTGAGTAGAAAATTATTTCAGAGTAATTTTATTTAGTTAAAAGTACATACTTTCTGTGTACTGCTTTCTGGCTGCCAAGTGTAGCTTGGTTAAGACAATAGGCTTTGAAGTCAGATTTAGGTTTGAGTCCCTGGTTTTACCTCTTAATAATGATCTGAGATTTGACAGATTAATTAGAGATTTTCAAGCCTCAATTTCCCCAGATATAATGCGGGAATGATGAAATACCTATATAATAGGATTAGAAGAACTATATAACAAATAAATAGGACTTAACCTGGTGCATAACACACAGCAACCCACACAATGCACGTGTTCTTGTGCCACTTCTACTCCTTTTGCTATTATTGTTATATTCATGCTAAGACCAGATGTTTCCATTCTACTGTTTTGTTTCTTTTTTAAACAATTGTGTCTTTCAATCTCCCACTCTGTTGTTTTCTTCTTGGGTTTTTTGGCTATTAGTTTGGTAATTTAAATCTGGCTATGAACATTGGGACATTCAAAGCTTCACTTCATATTTCAATAGCTTTTTTATTGTTTGAAAGGAAAAAGGACGAATAATTTAGTACACAATAATGGTTTTTGTAAACAAAGGACATTTAATCATAGACCAAGGTATATTTTTTTCATAGGGGACATACGTCATAGAAATAAATATTGATATGTAACTATGTCTCTTTATTAATAGTCCGTGGAAGGCCATAGTTCACAGAATAGTATACACCCAATGACAGATACACAATGGAGCTTGATAAATGTTATTGCTGTAGTCTTCTCTGAGATTTTGATTTAACTTTGTGATCAAATAGACTAAATAAGTAATTAATGAAAATAAGTAATATTCCTAGGGATGGAAAGACAGCAGTAGTAAAGATTAGATGTTATTTTTAATCTCAAACTTATAAAATTATGACCTTTGAGGAATATTTGGTTTGCTATTCAAGTGCAGAGTTATTGTAGGGCTGGTGTTTGCATTCTGATTTCATTATGAAAAAGAATACTTGTAATTAAATGCCATAATACCCCTTATGAAGGACAACTTTTAATGCCTATGACTCTAATAGTATCTGGTTATAACACAATCTCATGCAATCTGGTAAAATCACATTATTTTACAAAGATGCTATAAAGTAAAGCATACAGACACATATACTGTATCCTTTAGGTCATGTCTTATTATTTTGCTTCCAGATTAGCTTAGGGGAAGATATTATGTGTTATTTGTCATTTCAAGAGCAGTCACCATTTGCTGAGCTTTTCATCTTATAGTGAATTCTGTTATTACTCTGTACTAATAATGATATGTTCCTTTTCGTCATGAGATATTTACTCAGAGGAAAGAATGTGTCACTACACATTTTATTACAAAACATACAAACTATATGATTTTGCATTTAGATTTATAAAAGTGGAGAGAAAGTGCTTTTAGAAACATATATTTGGTAAGTTCTACAACATTTGATTGTATATACCTGTGGCTATTTAAAAACTTGATTTTAATAGCTCTACTTTATTATAGTGAGCAAGATATGTTTAAGCCAAATTAATCTCAATTTTAGTGAAACAATGACCTTTGAGTTTACAGAAAACATCTGGAGGAAACAGCTGGATAACTGATCAGGTGTTTTTTCAAGTAGAAGTGCAATGTGGTGCTCCTGTGGTACTGTTTAGAGATTTTTAATTCTCACATCATGTAGCACACAGTGGTGCTATTAATTAGAAACTGATGGAAAGTCAGAAATAAATCCTTATGTCAAGCAGGATGTCTTACATGGAGGAGATTCAAAAGTCATGCAACTTTCTGAAATTGAAATGTTCAGGGTAACAGCAAGGATAACAGACTCCCTGCTACCAAGTCAATATTTTCCAACTGCTAAATGTTAATTTCTTTAATACCTAGTTTCTCTCTTAAATGCGTAATATTAAAATGGACTTTCCTAGCCTCTAAAAAATTAGTGATGCAAAAAAAGCTATTAACTTCTAACTGGATCTGTGCTCTTTACACTTGCCCCAGTACAGTGGATAATTTCTAGTACCAACCTTTCCTTATCTACTTCACTTGTAATGTACATGCCTGTCAATGCCTAGCCTGATTAACTGATTTTTGTTTTTTAGAGTTGGGACACTCATTAGAAATGCAAGATCTCAGGCCTTATCTCAGACCTACTAAATCACAACTTGCATTTTTACTATATCGATGAATGATTTGTCTGCACGTTAAAGTTTGAGAAGTCTTGCCTTGACACCATGGCTGCACATTAACAAGCTATGGAGCTCTAAACACTGTTACCTGTACCCCATTCTAGTGGAACCAAATCTTTGGATGTGAGGTCTGTGGGGGCTAGGCATCTGTATTTTTTCAAAGCTCCCAGGTAAAACTTAAACTCAAATTGTCTGGTAGATGACCATCTACGTCAGAATGAGATAACAACGCTTGTGTAAATGCACATTCCTAATCTTTCTCCAGAGATTTGAATTCTTAGCCATAGTGTAAGTGGTTGAAAGTTCCCAATCTATCAGCTCACAGCACACAGTAAAGCTATTGCCTTGTTAAAGCTGTTGTAAAAAATCTGAGCTTTCAAAGGATTAACTTTGAAAATTACATTATTTTGTGTATAGAAAAATATATCATAATTCAGGTAGGGAAGAAAGCCTTCAGGCATGTTTGGTCAAGGTTAGATGTCCGTTTTTCTAAGATTTTTCCAATTTTGCTTCCTCCAGTACTAGAGTCATCATTAGGTAGAAAAATGCCTTCAGCACTCACAGGGCTCTCTCATACCTATTAAAGGAAAAGAGAGCATTTATTTAGAAGGCTTTTTTGGTTGTTTGTTTTGTTTTCAGAAGAATCAGGAAATTTATTTCCCAGAAAGTCTCAGCAAATATATTATTCGTGTTGTCTTTAAACCAGATATGGTGACCAAACATTTTGCAATTGGCTTAAACTGGCTGGGAACTTCAGGACTGTTACTATACAGGGAAAAGGCAAACTCTACTAAAGGAAAGCCAGGTTACCTTTGGCAGAAGAGAAAGGACATTGATGCTGTAGAGGAAATCAGCAGGTATTCATTCTATAGCTGTTTTGTTAAATGTACTTTGCAGAATTAGACTTTATAAATAGCCATACTTTTATAAAACATTATACTTGGAACTAAATACAAAGTAATAATAACACAGGAACATGCATACTTTAGAAACAACATACAAACTAAAACTATATATAATTTATAACAATAAATTAATGTTCAAAGAAAATGTCTTCACAAAAAAGCCTGAATATCATATTCATCTCTAATTAAAACATAACTAAGTAAAAGAAAATTGTTTCTCAAAATTTTACTCTTTTTTAATAATGAAAACTGATTTTGCTTCTTTCAGTGCATATTTAAATTCCAGTCACAGACTCAATTTCAGCATCTTAAATTTTATAATACGAATTCTATGTTACATTTGAGATAATCAATCATGTTTCAGTGTAATCCACATTGCATAGGAGACTTTTATTATGAGCATTATCGTTGTAGTATAGTAAAGTGTATTGTTAATGAAGCATGGAAAAGGAATAATTTCAACTAATAGTCATATATGTCAAATTTCAATTAGGACTATGTTGGAATCCAAAAAGAAAGATGAGCATATAAATTTAAACCTTTGACCTTCAGCATCAAGTACAAGGTCTGAGAGGAAAATTAAATTATTTTGATGTAGAATACAAATTTGAGTAAATTAATGTGTTCGAAACTCTCTTGACTCTTAAATTGGATATGATTTTAAAAATTTTTATATACTTGCAATTTACAACTTTGAAATGTTTACTTTTATTCCATATATTATAATATTAATAAATGAAAAAACAACAAATTCAACACAAGCTTATTGTGTGTCTACTGTTAGGCAATGCACCAATAGATAAATTACTGGTCCTGAAAGTGTCTGATGAAACAGATCAGGCCTACAGTTTTTAAAATTATTGTCATTTTTCAAGAATACTTAGTATCATTAAGTGTCCAGTGAATGGTCACTTTCCCTTGATTGATATATAAATTTTTTAAAAATTGAAGTTGGTTTATTTGAGTCAGAATCCAAATAAGATTCACACATTGCATTTGGTTGACCTCTCCATTCATTATATCTTAATTTATTGGGTAGCTTTCCCTCATTGCAATGTTCTTCTTCATAAAGTGGGTTCTTTTTCTTATGGAACTTCCCACATTATCAATTGTTTTTATTGCATACCTATAACATTAATATTTTATAGGTATTTTTATATGTTTGTGTTTGTGCTGTTGAATAAAAAACATCTGTAATGTAAGGCATTTTCCAACTCTAAGGATTTCAGATTCTCTGAGATAGAAAGTATGCTTCTAAGATAGCACAGCAGAGTATAGAAAGAGCATTGAAATATTAGTCTAAAAATTTTGATTTTCATCAATATTCTAATTCTGTTAATTATGGGGGTGATAGAGTTAGTTAACTACTGTGTGCCTCAATATACTCATCTGTAAAATGTAGGAATTAGGCTTGATGGTACTCAGTATCCCATTCAAGTCTAACATTTCTTGATAGCATACATTTTTTGACAAATGAATGAAAAGGGCCATCTTTCCTATTGGAACAAAATTCCTAAGTTATCATTTATATATTAAACTTTTAAAAATTCTTTATAGTCAATTTGGACCAACAGCTATTTAATATAATTCAAAGGAACAAGGACTAAATCATATATAAATGTTAATATTACCTTCTTCTATAGCTCTTTCATTTGTGTTCTATGAGTTTCACTTAGAGTTATTATAGGGAAATTATGAAATATAGATTAATGGTTGCATTTTTATGCTTTTGATGTGTTCTTTAATGAGGTATGTGCTGTTTTATATCTTACATCAAAGAGACATCTGCTAGAAACCTTCTTATCATACATATCAAGTGATTTTTGCTCTAATAAGCATAATCAACTGAAAAATGGAATATGGTATCTCTTTTTCATGCCAATGAACTTATCTTATAAATTTGGTTCCCATTTTGAAACATAGTTTTTAATTTTGCACTTTAAATTACTTTATTAGACATGCCTTTCCTGAAGTAAACTTAAATGGTATATAAGATTAGAGAAACAATCAGAAGATACAAACGTCTAACACCTTTATAGGTCATAGAATATAGTTCATGAAATTGCCATAATAGTATCACCTCCATCATTAATATAGTTTCTCTAGGAGCTATTGATCACTTTGGATTTAGTGTGTGTATTTGCAGTCACTGAAAATCATTAATTTGATGAAATAGACAAAGTATTCTAAACTTAAAATGAGGTATCAATATGAGTTAAATAATAGCCTAACCACAGCCACCATATAGATTACCAGATTTCCTGACTTTCACCTCCTCTGTCAACACTACAGCATTCCTCAACCTATGCAAGCATGGTTTAAAATCAAATTTTCCGTTCAGTAAATCACTATGAAATTTGTGAGCATTTTCTGCATCTGTAAAGTAAGTCAATGAGTCATAGACAAACTATTTAACACTGCATTTTGGGCACTATGAATAAAAAATAGAGAAGATAGGTATTTATAGATGTCAAATCACAGAATGAACTAAAATAGAAGAAATAGGGCCAACGTTTTGCAATTTAGCATTCTATTTTTTTGTATGTATACATGAGTGTTTTATACAAACTATTCAGAAATAGACCAGAACCACAGTGCCCAAATTCATAATTTCCCTTAGTAAGCATAGTGAAGTGTCATAATTAACAAACTTATTGGAAAATATTAAGATTGAAACAGCAAATATTAAATAATTTATCCAGGCAAATGAGCGAACTGTTCACTAGCATGGCAATTATTGCATTATTTCTGCCATTACTGAGTGTAAAAAATCCAAGTAAAAGAATTAACTGAGCTTTTCACTTAAAAATGACAATAAAACATCACTAGGGTTTAGTATGTGAAATTAATGGCTGTTTTAAGCATAAAAAATACAAAAAAAATGCTGTTTAAAATAGTTTTCTTTCATATCTTTTAGTAACTTCTTATGTTAATTGGTATTTTTAAAACTAGACTATCTACTAAATTAATAGAAATTTAGATTAAATAGGTTATCCAGAAAATAAAAATCAAATCCATAACTGATATGGTTTAACAAAACACACATGCACACAAAGGCTCATGAGGCCTAGGTTCCAGTTTCAGTCCTGACTTTTACTTGCCTTCTGAACTCTATCAAATCATAGCCTTTTTGATCTTTATTTCCCTTATCTTCAAAATGAAAGAAATTGAGTAAAAGAATACCAAAGTCACTTTAAAATAACAAAGATTTCATTTTTAATAATATATTTTACCGTTAATTCACAAATCATTTTCAAGATATACCTTCAAAACCATTACAATAATGTACTGTATCTCCTATTTTTCTGTTTTAAAATTTTACTAAGCCTGCTGTGTACCAGTCATACTTCTAAATAAAACTTCTTGCTTTAGATAATGTATTGTTTTTAATTCCAACTAAACAAATATATTCTTTACCATTAATACAAATATGACCTTTAGTTATGGGAATATTATTTCAATTGCCTGTAGCATGTTGCATTTAATTGTTGATCTTTTTCTGTGTCTGGGCATTTCAGATAAATTACTAAGTCAAATGTTGACATTTGAATTACAATTTCTCCATGTCTCATTCCTACATATTTTGGGGAAAGACTTTGAGAATCCAAAGGATAACAGTTTAATCTTACTTCTGCTTGACCTTGGTTACTTCAGCTCAGAAGAATATACAGCGTGTCATCAATCTCAATTCCTAAATTCTATGCCCTTTATCTCATTTCTTATATAATAAATTGGTTTTTATACTTATATGTCTGAAAAATGACTTGAGAAGAAGAGAAAGCTGGGGCAAAAATCTCCTTTTAAGCAAAGAGTAAAGATTCTCAAAAATGTAAGGAATAAACTTGAGAATGTCCTACATTGAAGATGCTTTTGTTAAAACAGGATGTAGAAAAACTACAGAGTACAAATTTTTAACACTTTTTTTTCTTTTTATGAATGAAGACATAATTAAAATGGGTCATTTAGTCATGTATGAAATAGCATCACTGTATGGCTAAAAGATGGTCTCCCAAATAGGTATGTGTATTCTATAAAGTGGCAGGTACTATATATATATATATCTAAAGTACAGAAAAAGTATCAATATGATAGACACCCTCTTTATTTACTTAATACCTACTGACCTTTATTACTCCTCAGTTATGTCAGGCATAACCTTCACAAACCTGTTCTAACAACAGTATTTTTTATCTATGTGATTGTAAACTTCATCTTTCCTGGAAGCCTGAGTATTTTCCTTCAATCTATGCTATTTTTCTTAAGTCATTATTTAAGAACACATATCTCTCCTATCTGTCTACCTGTCTCCTCCCTAACTCTATTACTTTTGCTGTTGCCACCACTATCCTTGTACTGATCTAGGGACCACTATATATATATATATTGTTCCTTATTTGCTGAACTCTTTTGCCTTTCTCCATCGTCTGCCTAACTCTAGGTCCCTTTTCCCGACATCCTGAAAGCAGATTGTTTCCCTTCGATGGCACTCCCAAATCATTTGATTAGTGTTTACCACATGGGCTTGAGCTCGACAGTGTACTTACCTACCTCATCCAGCATATGCTCCTGGAGATCAGGTATATTCAATCCACTTGGATCTCCAATATCTAGAATTCTGCTTTGCTTACTGTAGACACACACACACACACACACACACACACACACACACACACACTTCTCTAACAAAGTCAATAATTAAGCCATATTTTAGGAAGAAATCTCTGATTACTTAAGTTTCCAATTCTCTCTAAAGTTTGTCATTTTCTGGAGAAAAAATAACAGGTTTCAAGGTTTAAATAGGTTTTAGCCCATTTATTGAATTATATTTGAACGTATTGTTTTTATGTACTACTGAGATGAGCTCATTGTCTAGAAAACTCTACTTGATCATGAATAATTGTCTCATCTTTTCCTGCAAACTATAATGTAGTTTTTTTTAGTCCACTATATTCTGCTAGAGCAGTAATTGTTATTTAGAATATATTTGTGGAAATTTTAGTGAATAAATAACCAATGCAAAATCATTTTACTTGCTAGAAGAGTGACCATGCAAATATCTTTTTTTAAATTAAAAATATCCAGGCTTCAATTATCTGTAAATATAGTTGCCATCATGAAATTTAAATATTCATATATTACTGAGATATAAACAAAAAAATACAAGGAGAAACAATATGAACAAAATAAATTATCTTCCCATAACATTTACCTTTGGGGCCTTGAAATTATGCTAATGCACATAAACTGTAATGTATCTTTACAAGAAACAGTAAATCAAAAAAGTTTATCAAATGTCCTTATTCTAATCACATAAATAATGAACTATTTTAGTGCTAACACACTGATATTTCTTATATAGTGTCTTTGTTATACAGTGTATTCACAGCCTCCTCAATTTATTTCTGTATTAGGAAAAAATAATCGGCCAAATGCTATTTTATGTGCTTTCCTCTTCTTCAACTCAACCATAGTACCTGAGTTCCAGCCAAAGTCCTACCTTTCCATGTTGAGATGAGCAGGATGTTTTTCAACATTTAATTGTAGACATTTATATTTTAAAATATTCACTATAATTTTGGATACATTTGAATTCAGCTATTTATTATAGTCAATATATTATTTGGAAAAATAAACATAATTAGAACAAAGAAATCATTAACAATTTATTTTTTGAGTAGATTTTTTCTCTGTTGTATTTTGCAGATTGTCACATATTACACAGAAGTGAACTCATGAAATATTCAAACTGTACACAGATTTTATGGACATCATTTATGACTGCTGTACTATTTGGACTCAGTCTAAACTTACTAAGGTCTTTTGAAATAATAATGCCAGCTAACAATTATTTAATATTTATATGAGCCTACACTAATCTCAGTGTTTTGCGTGCATTAGCTTATGTAATTTTTATGTCCAAGGTCCTTGGCACTATTATTATTCTTAGTTTACAGATGAAGAAACTGAAGCAATAAAAAGCTTCATTTTGGTTTTTTTTACAAACCCATTGGTAAAAAACCAACCCATCAAACACCGCCTCCTCCCGTCTCCTCATATAACTGGCTGGTATCACCTCCTCTCAGGCAGGCAGAATTCTAGATGCCCTGAAATAATTTCATGGTTATTTTTTAAATAGGATTCGGCCTTTTTAAATGTGTTAGAAATAAAAATCAAATAAAATCTTTTATTTCATATAACAATAATAGAATCATAGTTATACTTGTAATGCTCAGCTCTTTAGTATAAGAACACCATATTTACTAAGTTAATCTTACTATTTCCAGAAAAAAAATTTAGACTTTTGAATCTATGTAGGCAAATTACCCATCTAAAAGTTCAATCCATAAGCAGTGCTATTTCTAAATTTCTTCTGGAACAATTTAACTGTGGGAGGAAATTTTGAAAATGTCAGTTTTCTAAAGTGACTCATTTTAATAGCCCAACTGGACAATCTTGCTTGCAATCATCTTTAATATGTTAAAGCATCATAGCTTTCACTACAAAGTTCCAAACTACAAGTTCACCTATTTTTATTATAACAAGTCAGACGGTAAGGAAACCCCTTCAGAAGCATGACACCAAAATAATTTTTCAGGGACAATTGTTGCTGACATCTTCAATCAGTCATTTTTGAAGATGTAAGGCCATCACCCAGTTTTCTTTTCTTACTTTTTTAAAAAAATACTTTGAGAAATTTATCTCCCAAATCTCTTCTACTACCTTTTGTTTTACTTCTTTAAAATTTTCTCTGAAGTCATTTATATATTTCAAGGTTGAAGATGATGGTTCTCTACCATCTATGAAAAAGATAACCTTTCTGCTTTTGTCAACTGTAACTTTCTCAGAGCTAACAGGTTTTGTGGGTCTTTTACCAACTTTTATTCTAAGTTCAGGGTTATGTGTACAGGATGTGGAGGTTTGTTGCATAAGTAAACGTGTGCCATGGTGGTTTGCTGCACAGATCATCCCATCACCCAGGTATTAAGCCCAGCATCCATTAGCTATTCTCCTGATCCTCTCCCTCTTCTCACCTCCTGCCCTCCGACAGGCCCCAGTGTGTGTTGTTCCCCCTCATGTGTCCATGTTTTCTCATCATTTAGAGCTACCAGTTTCAATTTAACATTTGAAGTTTTATAAAGTACATTGACCTTGAATTATAAAATTTAACCCTTCTATGTACTGTATTGTTCTTTGTGTATGCATTTGTGTCTCATGAAACCTGGAAACATTTAAGTGTTTGCAATTCAAAACACAAAATACTCATCTTAAAACTTCCTTTAATAAAATTAACAAAACAATATAAAAGTCTTAATTTTACTCAAAATGTTTTCTAGATGAGTGAGGAAACAAGGAGTAGAAATATAGTGGAGTGTGAGTACCATTTTTGTGTTTGGCAGAAGGCAATGCTTGGGGAGAAAAAGTTAAAAAATTAAAAGGTCTGGTCCAAGGATTATAAATAAAATATCTACAAGGGCCAGGCAGGAGCATACATAAAGCAAAAGGAATTGGTAAAGGTTGTGACAAACCAAAGAGTTACCTCACTTAAGTGTGGTAGCTCCATCTAATTGTGGACCTGTAGGAAAGTAGATTCATTGTAGCTTGATCTTCTCACAGTCGAAGAGTCGCATGATATCCAGTGTTGTGTGAAACAAATCTTTATGTTCAAATTCTTGTAACTAATCCAAGCATTTTTCAACTCTCAGTGGACCAATCAAAATGTATCTGCTGACCAAACCTACCCCCAAGAATGTGGCCAGTGCTTTATTTAGCAATTCAAGATGACAGATTGAAGGAGGCAGCTGAGGGCTAAGAAAAAGGAGCCACCAGTAGGTATGAATTCTAAAGGAATAACCAGTATGTTTGAGCAAGAAGAGGGATACATATTTTTTTTTTTTTTTTTTTGGGACGGAGTCTCGCTCTGTCGCCCAGGCTGGAGTGCAGTGGCGGGATCTCGGCTCACTGCAATCTCCGCCTCCCGGGTTCACGCCATTCTCCTGCCTCAGCCTCCCAAGTAGCTGGGACTACAGGCGCCCGCCACTACGCCCGGCTAATTTTTTGTATTTTTAGTAGAGACGGGGTTTCACCGTTTTAGCCGGGATGGTCTCGATCTCCTGACCTCGTGATCCGCCCGCCTCGGCCTCCCAAAGTGCTGGGATTACAGGCGTGAGCCACCGCGCCCGGCCGAGGGATACATATTTAAAGCTTAAAGGAAATGAGAGCTTACACCTCCAAATGAACATTCTATATTAAAGTAGATATTTTGACTGCTTGTTTTTAATAATACTGATATTTATTTCTTAAAATATTTTGGTGTATACTTTTCAAACACTTTAGGAAAATTGTATTAATTATATGCTACAATGAGTCTTATTATTTTTTAATCAACAACCTGATTTATCATTTTCAACATAGTGAAAATAACAGTTATTGGGTGCATACTATTTAGTAAACTCTGTATTTGGTACTGAGATAATAAAGTTGAAAAATACACTTATCTGTTGACTCTAACTATAGAGTAGGAAACTGACAAATAATAATTTTAAAAATGTGTATCCCACAGTAAATGTGGTAATAAAGTGGTGTGTAAGATATAGCCATCATTCATAGGAGAGAGTGATCATTCTTCTGAAAGGGTGACTAGGTCTCTTGGAAGCCATAAGCAGTAACTTTGTTTGAATGACATTTTATAGGATGACTAGAAGTTTCTCAAGCAGACAAGGAAAGAAGAACTTTTCATGAATTCAGAATAGTGCTATGTAATCATACTTCCCATTACCTAATATGAGTTCAGTAATTCTGTTAGTTGCTTCTTATCCCAATTAAGTAAAATAGAGAATTCCTTCAGGTAGAATACACTTTTAAATCTGTTCCTAAAACATAATATCTGATTATTGTTGAGAGAAGGAAAACTTACAAAATCTTGTTCAAAAAAGTAAAATATGTTTTTAGAACTAGCTTTCTTCAAACCATAATGTAGTGCACAGCCTCAACCAACTAATTGTTTTTCAGAAAGAGTTGTTCTAAGGTATTACTCTTGACCTGCTTGTCCTCACTATTTATAATATAATCCAAGTCTATTAGCCCAATATCCTTCTTTCCATCGTGTCTATGACTCCTGCAACACTGCTGTTTTCTCTGAGCATTATGGACTTGAGCAGTCCTACATGATCTGCACTGAGTCCTATGGCACATCCTGCTTCTTGATGTCCTCACTTATTTTGATGGAGAAATCCTCTCCCTAGGTAAACTAGTCCTGAAGACTCACTGCTTAGATAGTAGAGTCTATGTCTCATGAGTTAGATATTGGGAAGGGATTCAAACAAGACTGGTTCACAGAAAGAGCTACAAGTTGATATCATGAATATACTTGTGTTGAACTCATTAAGTCGTGTGTGGAAATCATCACAAGTTAAATCATGATATTATGGTATTGCTTAAGATTATACCTCTTAATAAGTTTATATGAATTTCAAGAGTAAAGATTTATTTCTATCCCTTATATCTTCACCTTTCTCTGCTTAAATTTTTGTTAGTCTATTAATATAATTATAGTCTAGGAGGAAAAAAGGTCAAAAGTTTCATTTTATTTAAACAGAATTATTTCTTTATTTTCCAAGGTTTTATACCAGCTCTACAACAAACATTGAAAGGTAAAAAAGGATGGCTTTGTTTAACTGGTAGCCTATGTCAGAATGAGAGGCAATATTATTTACTTCTAATGTGAAAATTGAGTTGGAAGGATTTAAGAAACAGATTGAGGTTTATAAGATTGCTACCTTTCAAATACTCCCTACTGTGTCTTCAGTATGGTTTTGGTATTTTGCTTGAAGAATAGTAAATTAAGAAGAAAAATTTTAGTTTGCTGTTATTCATATACAAAAACACAGTTCTAATTTTCATTAACCCAAAACTAACAAACAAAAACATGGTTTGATTTTGAGCGGTGGTATTAATAATCTTACTTGCCATTAACTTAAAAATCTAAAATTAATGATATTGTACTTCTTATGGTGGGTGAGAAAAATAATGAATGTAAAATATCAGTCTGGCATGAGAACAGTAGTTTTTCATTATTACCAAGAATTTCCAAGCATGGTTACAAGGAAGACATTTTGCTAGCTACTCTTTGGGCATATAAAATTATAGAGAAGGGAACCTATATATCATATTTTGGTAACTTTCTACAAGCAACAACTGGCTAAGCTATTTACATAAGTCATTTTATTCTCACCATAATGCTCTGAAGTGAGTTTTATTTTATATTTTTCATTTTCTCAGTGGAAAAATCAAAGCTAAGAATGATTTAATTAACTTGTATCTCAACTAATAAGCAGCAGAGCCAGGAATTTTGACTTTGTAATTCATTTGTTGAAGACATGTCTTCCATGCAAAGGGACATTGAAATGCATTTGATAGACATAAGACAAAAAGGAAGAAAAAAATGCAAAATACTATGAATGACATGTCAAAAAAGTGACCTATAAGAATTTAGTGATTAACTCTGAACTCGTCAATAGAATGGTTGAGAAAGTCAGACTTCTTTGAGATCTTAAAGGAAATAAAAGTTGAGATTAGTAGTGATTAAAGGAGGATGAGAACAATGGAGGCATAAGCCAACAGAATATAAAAAGGTGCCAAAGAAGAGGTGAGCATGGGTTTTCATGAAACTTCGAGAAGAGAACTTGCTTAGAAAAAGCAGGGGGATTACTTTGGGGAATGAGGAAAGAAATGGCGGAATAACACAGGCATGGTTTAGACATAGGATAGTAATTAGATTGTTATGGAACTCTAGTAATTCATTTGAATTTTTAAGACAACTGAGAAAATAACATGAATGGCATCATAATATTTATATGGAAGGCAAGTGCTTGATAATTTCTCTGAATTTGAAAGATAATCTAACAAAATACAAACACATGCACACACACACACAGTATGATTTTCCTAAAATGAAAAGACAGCTATTATAGTTACATATGTGCATTATTCATTATCCTTTATTCTTATAAAGGAGATTAGAAGGAATGATACAGCATAAATGAGCCAGACGGCTATGAAAAAAAAAAAAGTCTGAGAGGCTACGAATAGAAATGGAAGTCTTTGTGATCTCTTCCTACTTCCCATACATACAATTACCACTACACAGATTTAGAAAGAAGAAATGATAATATATTTTCAGCTTTTTAGTGCCCTATCCCGATGAAGTAATTTCATCCTGCTGCTCTCTAACTCAAGGAACCTTTTTTGTCAGTTTCTTAGGGTAAGAAGATTGAACACTTTGAATCCTGTACTCATTTTATATATATTTATATATATATGCTACATATATAGCTAATAAGCTATAAGCTTATAGCTATATAAGCTTATATTATAAACTATAAGCTTATTATATAACTAATAAGCTATATATATAATATATATAATATATATTTATATAGCTAATAAGTTTTAAAATGATTCATCTAAATCTGTAGCAGACATCTAAGGTTTTAGGAAGAAAATTGTCTGAAACTAGTATGTGATTTATATACACATTTATAATTTTAGCCAATTTAAAACAATATAATGATATCATTGCTCTGAAATTTTGAAAATTCTACTAGTAGGCATAAACAGACCATAAAAGTAAAAGCAGATTCATTTTTTAACAAAATCTTCAATTTCCACAAATTCTTAGTTTTGGTGTTTTGTTGATTACGGTATCTTCTCCACTCACTTTCCTACCCTCTCCTCACAAACATTTAATAATTTTCTTATCTGACTTATTTAAGTTTGTTATAGAGAAAATAATTTCAACAGAAACATTTAAGAATAGCAAAGCCATGATTTGCTATTTTTAGGGAATGTTTTAGGAAAACAAGTTTTTAATGTAATAATTTTTCTGTAATGATATCTAATATTCTAAATGTTTGTTCATATTATTTAAAATGTTTAAATAACATTTTAAGCCTCAGATGGGGTAGAATTTTAAAAGTCCATATATCTAGTAAGCTTTTTTCTTTTACTATACATGTATTTATTTTTCTTGGCATAAGGCTAAACCAGAAAAGGAAAACAAAATCATATACATATTAGGTTCATTTGTTTGGGTAAAAAACAAACAAACAAACAACAACAAAAAAGACCACACACGCACAAAAAAATAACAGGTTACCAGTGATCTATAGCTAACAATAACAGGTTATGTGGAAAAGGATTTTATGGTAAATATTTCTTTTTAAAAATAAAGCCATATATAAACTTCAAAACGAGGTGTGTAATGCCCACAGGGAACTGTTGACTATACACTAAGCCAGCCATTATTGCCTCATTAATCTTAATTTTCTTTTCATCTAAGAAATCTCTGTGTCCATTGTGGAAGATTGTTTTGTTTTCTACATCAATATGTTCTGTATAGTTTTGAGGTTGAAAGACAACAAGCTCATAGCTAACTTTGAAACAGTGGGACATGTCCTATCATAGCCTTCTATCTATAACGTAGCAGAACATCCTAATTATTCATTCCATCCATATGATTAGAAAGACTCCCACTAAAAAAGGTACTATTATAAAATTCATTGCTAAATGGACATGGTAATAATAAGTCCTATTGTGTTTCATTTTGTGGCAATAATTAAGGCATTCATGATAAGAAAAGTGGAAACATTATGCCTGCTAATACTGTATGCTTCTGCTAATCTACTTATTCTAAAATTTTATAAAATCACATTTTACATACTTTTAAAATCTATTCATTTCCATTTTCTTTCCTACTCTGAGAATGCATGTAGCATAATATTTTCTCCACGTTAATTATGGCTTTAATTCCTTCTCTCTGCTCTAAATGTCTTATGTTTGATCCTTGCCATGCTCAGATTAGAACATTCACTGCACTACATCTCGATCACATTGTCTGTGTATCCTCTCTATACTAATCAGAATTTCAGAACTGGTTAGCATTTTTTATCCCTACTCCTTTCCTAAGGCAGGGCCATTGGGTAGATTCCTGTGGCTCTCCCTTTGGATCAAATATACAAAAGCAGAAAAGCTATAATTTAAAATGAAAAGAAAATCCCAAGTGTAAAGGAATCTTTCAGTTGCTTGCAATTAGCCAGCCACCGTTCCAAAGTCTCTGAATGTGTTTCATTCACCAGCCTAAGCCTATGCTTCCTTTGTTCCTAGCAGGACAAACTTGCTCAAATGAAAATGAAAGTGTTAAGAGACTTAGATTTTATTAAACATATAATGGCCAGTAGCTCTCAATGAGTCCCTGTTTTACAACACATTTTGGCAAGGCTGTTTGAAAGACTGATGCAGATTTGAGACAAGCAATTGAGAAACTAGAGCCAAGGTAAAAAATTTATAAACTCTTATCCACCTGAAGAAATGCAAAGAGTGGAAGGAATAAGGTTATACACTGAGAATCATGTTTACCAAAGGTGTAAAAGTGACCCTAAGACTAATTGTAAATAGGGTTGACAAAATGGAGAGCAGAGCTATAGCAGTTAATATAACTAGCATGGGAATAAAAAGGGCAGTTTTTGTTGTTGCTGTTTTATTTTTTTCTTGTACAACAGGCTTTGCTTTTCCTGACTTTGAATCTACAGCCTATTTCACAAGCCAGGAGAGATCATAGAGAAGTGTGAATTGTGGATTAGCCCCATTAACCTATTGTAACCAAAGCACCTTCTGCGGCTCTTCACGGGAGGGAATGGGCTGCTTTACCTTTGGAAACAAAATCAGCATGGTAATCAGACTCAAAGGTAAAAATAGCAAAATTGGACTTGATCAAGTAAAAAAGAAAAGCAAGGCATATAATAAACGTTATGTTTTATATTTTCAACAATGTTTGGAGGTAGAAAGATGTATAGTTTTGTTATTTACTTTTTAACATCCATCTCCATTGATGCAAATGAGGATCAAATCTTGTGCTTAATACCATATATTTAGGAAGTGTGTAGCTGAAATTCAAACTCCTGTCTGTATGATTCTAAAATATTTTCATTCCAAATATGTCTCAGAATCAAAATCAAAGGTCTGCCTAGAAGAGTTTTATTTATATAGAAAGAAATAGAAAATGAATAGATATTTATCAAGTGTCTATTTGCACCAGATTCTGGGCTAGGTACTGGGAACAAAAAGGCAAATAGGACAGAGTACCTACCTTCAATGGGCTCAAGTAAGAAGTTAAAAGCATTTATCCACATCACAAGCCTTCAGAGTGGACTTCTTTTTTTAAACCTCATTTTATAGTTAAGGGAAATGTGGCTCAGAGAGGCTAAACGACTTAGCCAGTCAGCCAAGAGTCAATTTGTTCCATTATACATTGCCGACTCATTCTGCAAACAAAATCAAATAGAATAACACCAAAATTATTATTGAACTTTTTTTTTTTAATTTGAGCATTTGAAAAATCAAGCACGTACCCAAGCAGGCATTTGAGGGTAAAAACTGTTGATTAATTATCTTGATATGATTCATTGTATAATTTACCCTCCCATCACGTCTTTTGTGTTGATACTCTTTTACTATACCCTTTAAATAGTCTTAAGAAATTGTCCCCTTAAATTCTTTTTTTTCTCTCCTTCATTTTTCATTTTATTGTAAGAAAAATACTGTTTTGGTTTTCATTAATTTTGCTTACTTTTCTCCTAATTCCCCAATTCAGGCCACTTTATTAATAGACATTGATTCTGTTGGAATAAAACTAACATGAGAAGAATTTGAAAAGAAAAAAAAAAGTAACATCATTTATTTTCACATTATTAAATATTTTCTTATTCAAGGAATTTTAGAAATGGATTTAAAAAGCAGCAGAAGTTGGGAAAGCCCTCAATAAATGGATGTGATAGTCATGTGATGCATTGTTTTCATTTAGGAGATAGGTGCTATTACTTATTCCAATTTTCATTCATCTGTCTGCTGGTGAGAATTATGAAAACGATTGAAAAACAAAGCATCAGACTGAACTACTATGTTTGGATACTTTTGAGGATTTGAAAAGTTAACACTAATAAAACAGATATTTTGTAAATTATCCTCTATTATATTTTCTATTATTTTGAAAAATATTTTAAAATATATAATCATACAAGTTTTGCTTTTGAAAAATATAACTTAAATCTGCCTTCACAAATAAATATTTAAATATACTTAGAAATATGATTCCATATTTTTTATAATGTTGACTTTTAAAATGTTTCACTAAACATTATTTTTCATAGAAAAATTAGAAAATATAAATAAGTTTTTTTAAAAAAATGTTTCACTGAACATTATTTACCATAGGAAAATTAGAAAATATAAATAAGTTTTTTTAAAAAAAAAAGGAGAAAGGACCTTAATAACACATACTACCTTATGATCTATTTTCAACAATTTTTATTCATCTCTTTCTGTTTTCTATTGTTCATATATCTTTAATGTTTATTTGTAGACTAATTATACTTTTAAAATTGCAATGTAATTTACATACATTGTATATACTTATGCTGTGTTTGGGTGTGCAAATGCCCATGGGCTTTGTGTTTTGAATTTTTGTATAAAAATGTGTTTAATGAAATGCTTACTCTTTCCTGTTTAGGAAAACTAGGATATGCTGCACACTAGAGAGATAAACAGTTAAACATGTAAGAATTATCTTTCCCTTTTTGCAAACTGTATTAGAAACTAATAAACAATTTTAGTCATATTTTCCTAAATATGACTTTGGGGTTACCTAAAATTCTAGAGGAGAATGCATATTTGTAAACTAGAAATAATCATTAATCATATGTATAAAACATATATAAGTATATGTATGATTTGATGTAGTTAAAAGGTAACTCATCTAGATATCTTTTTCTGACTCTGTTACTAGTCAGCTTTATAGAATTGGACTAATAACTTATTTATTTTTTTTCTGCAAAAGGAGAAATGTATGTGAACACTGGAATGTTTCTTATGGCTCTGAAGCAACACCACTTTGTGATTTAACAAATTCTTTAATGTGTCATCAGATTAAAATAGAAGCTAGCTAGAATGAAAAAAATTCACTCTATATGTTGTATTAAAATAAATTGTAAGACATTTGCAGAAAACTACAGTTCTCTTACATTGTTCAATAACGAAGGACATTCACTTCAAAATCAAGTTTTTATGTTCTTTCCGTTAGTCAATTATTGCAATTTTTGCGTGTAACTATAATGAATAAATGTCTCATATGTAAAAGTGTCCAACACATTTCCTTCCAAACCCTAATTGTCTTAATTTCTCAAAGCTATTCTTGGTCATAAGCTCTACTCCAAATGCTGAAAACAGTCAATATTAATAAAAGAATACAGAAAAAAACATGGACAATTTAATTTGTCAAATGAAAACATTAATATGTTTTTTGAGTTATGCACAAATGAATAATTTATCCTTTTATGGAAAACAACTTTGAAAAATTTCAACTATTCACTATAAAACTGAACTTTTATATACCAAGTATTTCTAACATTTATATTAAATATTATTTTCATATTTGCATAAAATATTTAGTTCTCCCTCTTTCTCTCAAACAAGTGTTATATGATAAAGGAAAGGGTAAAAATTTCTAAGTTGAAGAATTATTAAAGTATTTAGATACATAACAGATACCTTGATTCCCATTTGCCTTTTTTTTAGAGCTTTGCCTCTGGGAGTATTTTGACTTGAAAGCATTTGTTGAGGAAAGAAGTTGTGTTGATGGTGAA
The DNA here is from genome assembly GCF_000001405.40 of Homo sapiens. NCBI lineage: Eukaryota > Metazoa > Chordata > Mammalia > Primates > Hominidae > Homo > Homo sapiens. Next base: position 194,742,147 of record NC_000002.12, on the reverse strand, counting down.
ACTCAGAGACAGATGTACTTGTTTTATAAAAACTTTTTAGCTTCTCTGCAAGTGTATTAAACATGTTGAAGACAGTACAGGATAAAAGTAAAGACAAAAAACAATCTGAAAAGTGAATCAGATTATTCAACATGAACATTTCTCTCTGAATGTTTTCAAGTATTAGAAGACCATGAGAAATGTGTATGCTGTAATATATATTCATTTGGAATAATATCATTCAACTGAAGATATGTATACCCTTAATAATTATAGTTAATTTTTATATTCAAGATAGACTGTAGCATCTAGCATGATTGAAATTTTTATGTAGTCACTTAATTTTTAATATGATCTCACTTTCAAGAAATGCCACATCTAAACTTTTAAGTATACATTCACACATCAAAGTTATTTTTCTTTTCTTTTTTTCAGTTTAATTTTCATTTTAACAGTTCAGAGAAATGCATAATTTTTTAGGTACTACCACCCATGGCTTCTTATCACCTTTCAACTTTATCTGAGGTCTAGAAGCAAATCACTTATTTGGAAAGCTTAGCTCATCTCCAGTGGTTTCAGAAGCAAGTATAAAGTAAAGGCAAACAAAAATATAAAAATAGTCCTCTGTTCTGAGGTTCAGCCCTGATGGATTTCATATTCCAGAACCAAAGTTTACAACAATCCTATTGTGTAAGATTGATGTCACTAGAAAATGTGGTTTGTTTCTACACAGATTCCCTCCCCACCCCCCCACATCCATACACCATCCCGCCTTTTCTTTTGTTTTCTGGATATGCCTATTTCAATGTATCTCTTGTTACCGTGAGATATCACCATTTTCAATTTCACTAAAGCTTATCCTTAACCTCACAAACTTTTAGATTCTCACAGCTTCACAAAACTATCTGGTCTCTTCAGAGTTATTATGCTCAAATTTTTATGTTGTGGCTTTTCATTTTCAAATTTTGTCCTTTGTTATAAAGTCAATTATTTATCTATTCATTCTTAGTATCTTATTTTATCTATTTTTAAATGTTAACTTATAATAGTTTTGAATTGTCTTATTTGTAATATATATCCTTTTTTTCCTTTTAATCTTGGAACTAATATGCTCATTTTTTAATATAAACTTTTATTCGAAAAGAGTTTTAGATTTAGAGAAAAATTGTGAAAACATTACAGAGTTTGCTTATTTTTCATAGCTGGTGTTCCCTATTATTGACAGCTTACATTAGTATGGTACATTTGTCCTAACAAATGAGCTAATATTGATACGCACTTTTTTTTTTAACTAAAGTTCATACTTTATTCAGATTTTCTTAGTTTTTTCCCTTACATTCTTTTTCTGTTCCACAGTCTGTTTCAACATACCACATTATATTTAGTGGTTGCTCCTTTTGACTGAGACAATTTCTTAGGTTTTGCTTGTTTTTGATAACCTTGACAGTTTTGAGTGTTACTGGTGAGGTATTTTGTAGACTCTCCCTCATTTGGGAGATTTTTTGTTGTTGTTGTTTTGTTTTGTTTTTTTTTTTTTTGCTTTTTTTTTTTTATGACAAGACCGATTATGTGTTTTGGGGAGGAAGACCACAAGGTAAAGTGACATCACATAATACCAAGGATATATACTATCAACATGACTTATCACTGTTGATGTTGACTTTGATTATTTGGCAGAGTAGTTGTTTTTTGTTTGTTTGTTTGCTTATTTGAAGTTTCTCCACTTTAAAGTTACTCTTTTTTCCCCTATCCATACTGTATACTTAGGAAGGAAGTCACTATGGCTTAAAAATATTTGAGAAGTTATGCTTTCTATTTTTGAGGGTAGAATATCTACATAAATTATTTGAATTCATCTGCATAAGAGATTTACTTTTTCTTCTCAATCTATTTTTTTAATTCAGTAATTGATTTCTATCAATATAGACTCATGGATATTTATTTTACACTTTGGGTTTTAATCTAATACCACTTTATTTATTCTGTTGCCCAAATTGTTCCAGGTATGGACATTAGTAGCTTTTTTAGTTAGCTCTTGTGTCCCTTTAATTTACTTCCAATGCTGCTTTTTGTTTTTTGGGTGTCTTTTGTTTGTTTTAGTATTCTACTTTCTGGCATTATACTATGCTTCAAACTCATCATAAATATTTCCTTCCAAGTCCTGGAATGAGACATTTTTCTAAGACTCACTGTTTCCTTCTACTGAAAATGATATTAGAAACCAAAATCTGGGTACTAGGTGTCATGGTTGCCACTGGTGTGTCATTGCCTCTAGATCTGCTTAGCTGAGAGAATAAGGAACTGTATATGTTTCTATATGTGTTGTTAACTACATATAGGTTAACTATATAGTAACTATATATATTCCTATATGTGTTATCATATGTGTATATATACATACACAGACACATGCATATATACATACACACATAATTCTCTAAATATCTTTTTTATATAACTATATGTACCTATTTTGAGCCAAGCATGAGTTCACAGTGATGACTTCTAATTTATTACCACATTGATCATTCTACGATTCTACTTTTGCTGGTCTGTAATGACCCACTTTAAATGTGAGAAACTGATTCCCACTGTTCATCATTCTTTAATTGTTCAATTCGAATATATGTCCTTCATATATATATTCGAATATATATGGCTTCAGAATTGTTAACCTGTACCTAGTTGGGAGAAATCTATCATCTCAAGTACAATATTTACATCTGGTTCTTACCACATTTGGTTTCAAAAACTCCTTTCCAAAATCGCTTAGGTCAGCACTTTCAGGTTTGTTGTTTTTTTTTTAATTTGTTATATGGTTAGTTTGTCTCATTCTTCATTCTATTCTGATAACTCTTGACCTTCTAAATGATCTTAATGTTTTCCATACATAAGGGTTGTATTAGTCAGGATTCTCCAGAGGGACAGAACTAATAGGATATATGTATATATGAAAGGGAGTTTATTAACTCACACAATCAAAAGGTGTGTCCCATGATAGGCTGTCTGCAAGCTGAGGAGGAAGGAAGCCAGTAGTGGCTCAGGCTGAGTCCAAAAGCCTCAAAAGTAAGGAATCCAACAGTACAACCTTTAGTCTGTGGCCGAAGGCCTGAGAGCCCCTGGCAAACCACTGTTGTAAGTCCAAGGGTCCAAAGACCAAAGAACCTGGAGTCTGATGTCCAAGTGCAGGAAGCATCCAGCATGGGAGAAGGATGAAAGCCAGAAGACTCAGTGAGCCAGCTTATCCTATCTTCTTTCACTTGCTTTGTTCTAGCCATGCTGGCAGCTGATTGAATGGTGCCCACCCGCATTGAGTATGAGTCCTCCTTTTCCAGTCCACTGACTCAAATATTAATCTCCTCTCGTAACACCCTTACAGACACACCCAGAAACAATACTTTACCAGCTATCCAAGCATCCTTCAATCAAGTTGACACGTAATATTAACCATCACAAGGGTTTTTTGCAATAGTGTTCAGTTTTAGTCTTTGTGCCCTATAGGCCTTGACAAATTCATGATGCCATGTTTCCATGATTACAGTTTCATGTAGAATGTTTTCCACCACCCTAAAAGATCCCATGTGATTTACCTATTTACCTCTGCCCCTACCCTGTATTCCTGGAATCCACTGATGTTTTTAAATACCTCTATTGTTTTACCTTTTCCAGAACCTTATATCATTGGAATCATATAGTATACAGTTTTTTAGACTGTCTTCTTTCAGATAGAAATATGAATTTAAGATTCATTCATGTATTTGCATAGCTTGATAATACGTTCATTATTGCTGAATAGTATTTCATTATATACATGTACCACTCTCTCTTTATCCATTTACCTCTTAAGGGACATATTAGTTACTTCAAGTTTTAGACAATTATGAATAGGTCTGCCATAGATATCCACATGCAGGTTTTTATGTGTTCTATTTTTTAAATCAGTTGGATAAATACCTAAAAGCATGGTTTGTAGTTCATAAGGTAAGGAAGTGTTTAACTTTGTAAGAAACTGTCAAACTATCCTATTGTAATAGTTTGTCCTTTAATACATGTTGTATAGGAGTGTGAAAGAAGAAATTTTTGCCTTGTTTCCAAGGACATCAGTAGGAAAGCATCCAATCTCTGACGATCAAATATATGTTTTTTTTAAATAAATGTTTTCATCAAGTTAAGGAAATTATTCTTTATTCCTAATTTTCCAAACTTTTTTTTTTATCATGAATAGGTATTGGATTTTATCAATGCTTTTTGTGCATCAATTGATATGATAATATAATTTTTTTTCTTTATCCTGTTGATATGGTGGATTATGTTGATTGATTTTTTAATGTTACACCAGACTTGCTTACCTAAAATAAATCTTACTTGGTCTTGGTATACAATTCTTTCTATATATTGTTGGATTCAATTAGCCATTATTTTACGAGGGATTTTTGCATCAGTGTTTAAGAGGATAATGGTCTGCATTAGGTTAATTCTGGCCTCAGGGAGGGAGTTAGGAAGTATTCCCTCTGCTTCTATTTTTCTAGAAATGATTGTGGATATCGGTATTATTTTCTTCTGAAGTGTTTGGTAGAATACAAAAGTAACTGGGCCTGGTACTACATTTTTTCAAAGGTTATTAATCATTGAGTCAAAATCTTTAATTGGTATAGGGCTATCATGTTATCTATTTCTCTTTGTGTGAGTTAGTTTGAGTCTTTCAAGAAATTGATACATTTTATGTAAGTTATCAAATTTATGGCAATAGTCATTCTTGGTGTTCCTTTACTATCCTATTATAGTCCTTGGGCTAATAAGTGATGACTTTTGTTTCATTCCTGATATTGGTAATTTTTGTCTTCTCTGTTCTTGTCTTGGTTAGTCTGGCTAGAGTTTAGTTTAATTTATTTTTTCAAAGAACCAGCTTTTGTTCATATGTTTCCTTTTTACTTTTATCAACCTTCTGCCATCTCCTTATTTTCTTAGTTGAATTTGCTACTTTTTCTTTTGTTATATTTTTTGATTATGTAATAGATGGTGTCTTATGCTGCTATAACAAAATACCTGAGACTGAGTAACATATAAACTGCATAAACTTATGGCTCACAGTTATTGAGGCTGGGAGTACAAAATTAAAGTGCCAGCAGGTTCAGTATCTATTGAGGGTCTGGTCTCTGCTCCTGAGAAGGGACATTGTTGCTGCATCTTCCTGAGGGGGTAAACATTATGTACTCACATGGTGGAAGGGATGGAAGGACTAAAAAGTACTAGCTAGTTCCCTTGAGCATTAATTCCTTCGTGGGGGTTGTGCCCTCATAACCTAACTACTTACTAAAAGTCCCACGTCTTAATACCATCACTGTGGGGTCTGAGTTCCAACATATGAATTTGGGAGGGACACATATACTTAAACTCTACCAGATGGTATGAAATATTTCACGAATGTATTGTCACTGAAGAGAAACATATTTTACAAAGGAAATCCATGATATGTGCTCTATTATCCCAGCAGCAATTTCTGTATCTTTTCAGTGCACCAAACTTCACAGTCTGATTTTGTGAACAACATTTTATTCCTGGCCTTTTCTTTTTACTATTTTTTTCTTTTACCCGAAGTCCTACATTTAATTCAAATTATATTTTATTTTATTTATAAAGAAGAAATGTTTACACAATAAATCAATACATGCATAGATACATACTAGAACAGCAGTTGTTGATGACTCACTCCATATGTTACTACAAGCTAAAAATGGACTACCACTGCTCCACATCCACATTTAGATATAGCTGTGAGGACAGTGATGAGAGGGAAATCTTCCCAACAAGCTGAACTGTGAGCAATACACATTGTTATCACCTTAGTTTCATGGAAGAAGTCATCAGAGGTAAAGGTATGCTTGCAAACTTGAGAAGTGGCAATGATTTGGTTTGTTGGTGAGAGGTCTGAAAGGAGGAAGAGAGAAAGGTCCAGAGGCTAAGTAAGAGTTCAGGAGAAGTGGCGTGCTGATGGAGGTATAGGAGTGGACACAAATGCAGATTTGTTTTTGTGTCATGTTAAAGCCTCATTCAAAAGAGGTACTTCAAAACTAAGTGAACAAGATGACTCATCTGGGTCGAACATCCTCTGTCATCAGCCATTTCAGTACTTGTACAGTGGGCCTATGAATGAAATAGACATGATGATACATGTAGTGCTTATTAATGAGCACAGTAACATAGGGCTTTTCTCAACAAGACTCATTTATCTGCTGTCATTGCTGAATGTATGACTGATGGTAAGCCCTTGATATGGTACTACTTAGATTGATTGTCCACATCTTTACTACATGGAGGGGAGGGTTGCTTATAGTCCCTGAGATTTAAATTGTATTCTGGATATGAATTTGTTATCTCTGCCCTCAGTGCCTTTTTTTCACCTCTATATAAATACTTTTTTAAAAAAATTATAACTTAAATTCTGGGATACATGTGCAGAATGTGCAGGTTACTTACATAGGTATACACATACCATGATGGTATGCTGCACCCATCAACCCGTCATCTACATTAGGTATTTCTCCCAATGTTTTCCCTCCCCTAGTCCCTCAACCCCCGACTGCCCTGGTGTGTGATTTTCCCCTCCCTGTGTCCATGTGTTCTCATTGTTCAACTCCCACTTATGAGTGAAAACATGCAGTGTTTGGTTTTATGTTCCTGTGTTACTTTGCTGAGAATGATGGCTTCCAGCTTCATCCATGTCCCTGCAAAGGACATGAACTCCTTCTTTTTTATGGCTGCATAGTATTCCATGGTGTATATGTGTGACATTTTCTTTATCCAGACTATCACTGATGGGCATTTGGGTTCGTTCCAAGTCTTTTCTATTGTGAACAGTGCAAAGTAATTTATATATTCAATGTTATCCACATCAAGCTACCATTGACTTTCTTCACAGAATAGAAAAAACTACTTTAAATTTCATATGGAACCAAAAAAGAGCCCATATAGCCATGAAAATCCTAAGTAAAAACAACAAAGCTGGAGGCATCATGCTACCTGATTTCAAACTATACTACAAGGCTACAGTAACCAAAACAGCATGGTACTGGTACCAAAACAGATATATAGAGCAATGGAACAGAACAGAGGCCTCAGAAATAATGCCACACATCTACAACCATCTGATCTTTGACAAACCTGACACAAACAAGCAATGGGGAAAGGATTCCCTGTTTAATAAACGGTGTTGGGAAAACTGGCTAGCCATATGCAGAAAAGTGAAACTGGACCCCTTCCTTACACCTTATACAAAAATTAACTCAGATGGATTAAAGACTAAAACATAAGACCTTGTACCATAAAAACCGTAGAAGAAAACCTAAGCAATACCATTCAGGACATAGGTATAGGAAAATACTTCATGACTAAAACACCAAAAGCAATTGCAACAAAAGCCAAAATTGACAAGTGAGATCTAATTAAGCTAAAGAGCTGCTCCACACAAAAGAAACTATATAAAGACTTCTAGAACTGTGACTTACTGTCACAGGTTTCAGCTGGCATTGTCTAGGGCCAAGGGATGCATTTAAATCAAAGAGAATTTGACAATGAGTACATGGACCATAAGATTCGTGAGCCCAGTCAGATACTGCATTACTGAGTAGCTGCTATCCTGAGCAAACATGAAAACATATTTTTAAAAGCTATATTCTTTGAACCAATGACTTATATAGTGCTGTGTTTCCAACAGATAGAGTGCATGGGCCCAGGAATCAAGGAATAGAAGTAAGAGTGGAAGTTCAGTGGCACGATCCCGGATCACTGCAACCCCCACTTCCTTGGTTCAAGCAATCCCCCTGCCTCAGCCTCCCGAGTAGCTGGGCTTACAGGCACCTGCCACCACACCCAGCTAATTTTTTTGTATTTTTAGTAGAGACAGGGCTTCACCATTTTGGCCAGACTGGTCTCAAACTCCTGACCTCAGGCAATCTGCCCTCCTTGGCCTCCCAAAATGCTGGGATTACAGGAATGAGCCACCGTGCCTGAGGTGACTATGTAATTCTTATCTCCATGTAATTCTTATGAGAACCTGAGGCTTACAGGATTAGAATTCTTTGTCTTCAGGCTTCCATCAGGTTCTCAGTAAAATTACAATGAATTTATAGCTACAACTCTTATCCTGTCATTTTTGAGTTCCTCATACCAATAGAAAAGCAGGCATAAAAGAAGTTACTGTAGTAGGGTGGGGATAACTGACCATTAACATGACGAGAAATGAAGGTTTTTGTAACATAAAAGACTCAGTGAAGATGTCTGAAACTCAGAAGATTCCTAGAGGAACCTCTTGGCGTTTCTATGTGAGATAATAAAAAAAAAAAAATAAGCTGATTATGACTTTAGCCATGTCCTGGTAAGGGCAAGGTAATCGGGACTCACATCTCATGAAGGTTTGATGACAACTTTCAGAAAGGTAGATCTATTGAAGTGTTAGCTGAAAGTAAGCAGAAGAAAGATGGTGAATATTAACTATAGTTTTGAGACTGTTGCTTTTAATATTAAAGCTCACATTTTAAAGCTTTTTTTTAGATTGTGCTTGGTTACCACCCTGAAGCTCCAGTAATAGAGCTGACTCTCTGTGGAGGACACAAAGTTCTGACCAGTAAAAAGAGCTGACAGCAACACATTTACCAGTCATCTGTTTGGGTGTACATAAATATATGTAGAGATGTAGTTCTCAGGACTCAAGACTTCTTAATATTTTCCAATAAATAGGATGCAAGCATATGGAACTATAGAACCCACTGGTAAAAAAGGAATCATCTACTGGCTGAGACAAGAAAGAGGCATAATACTGTGCATGCTGTTTGTCAAATACCCATAAATATATCCTCTGTAATTTTCATTTAGAAAATATTTTTGATGGCCGGGCGTGGTGGCTCACGCCTGTAATCCCAACACTTTGGGAGGCCGAGATGGGCGGATCACAAGGTCAGGAGATTGAGACTATCCTGGCTAACAAGGTGAAACCCCATCTCTACTAAAAATACAAAAAATTAGCCAGGCGTGGTGGCGGGTGCCTGTAGTCCCAGCTACTGGGGAGGCTGAGGCAGGAGATTGGCGTGAACCCGGGAGGCGGAGCTTGCTGTGAGCCCAGATCGCGCCACTGCACTCCAACCTGGGCGACTGAGCGAGACTCTGTCTCAAAAAAAAAAAAAAAAAAAAAAAAATTTTTTTTGATGTGTATGTGTCACATTTTCTTTATCCAGTCTATTATTGATGGGCATTTGGGTTGGTTCCAAGTCTTTGCTATTGTGAATAGTACTGCAATAAACATATGTGTGCATGTGTCTTTATAGTAGAATGATTTATAATCCTTTGGATATATACCTAGTAGTGGGATTGCTGGGTCAAATGGTATTTCTGGTTCTAGATCCTTGAGGAATTGCCAGTGTCTTCCACAATGGTTGACCTAATTTACATTCCAACCAATAGTGTAAAAGCATTCCTATTTCTCCACATCCTCATGGAATACTATACAGACATAAACAAGAATGAGCTCATGTCTTCTGCAAGGACATGGATGAAGCTAGAAACCATCATTCTCAGCAAACTTAGACGGGAACAGAAAATCAAACACTGCATATTTTCACTCGTAAGTGGGAGTTGAATAATGAGAACATATGGGCACAGGGACGAGAACATCACACACTGGGGCCTGTCTAGGGGTGGGAGGCAAGGGGAGGGATATTAGGAGAAATACCTAATGTAGATGACGGGTTGATGGGTGCAGCAAACCACCATGGCACATGTATACCTATGTAACAAACCTGCATGTTCTGCACAAGTATCCCAGAACTTAAATATACTAAAAAAAAAGAAGAAAAAAAGAAAACATTTCTGAATAAATATTCTAAAAATATCATGGCAGAACATTTTTGTACAAAATAATGGCCTCTATTATGGATCGTGAATGGTATTATATCATGAGCTAAATAAATAGTGAATATTTCAAATTGATCATGACTCAAGTGCAGTGATGTATGGCCAGAACCAGGAAATGCTTTTTAGCTTGAAATTGAGTGACTCCCTATTAAATAAGCCTAAATTTCCTGCCACACATTATATTTGGCTAGCCAAAATACAAGTGTGAATACTGCTTATGTTTTGCTTGGCTTACTTTTAATCTATTAATTAAACATTGTCTAATCTGTGAAACATAGGATGCTTTTGGCAGCTGTGCCCCACAGGATTTAATTCCTAAAATGACTAAATTCCAATCACTAGTCATCTGATTAATTGTGTTTTAAACTAATCAGATGTTCTGTAGATTTTTCTGGTTTCTACCCTATTTCCAGGAACAGAAATTTTAATGCAGATTTTTATGTATGGATACAGAAATGAGAAACCTAATCTCTGTAGCAGCTGATCCAGTAGGTTGGCGGGGGGGAGAAGAAAAACAAAACCTCAAATTTTTGAATGTTACAACTGGATTTATTTTAAATACCTGGTGTCTTTCAGCTTTGATTAATCCCACATGTGCTTACTGTCTGTGGCCACATGAATTCTGAACAATTATGGCCTTTTTAAATATTTTAACTCTACTCCATTTGATATGACATCTGACCTAAGGGTCCTGATGACGTCTATTAAATATTAGTAAATCTTAATTTCTTTATTCGTTTTTGAAATAATGAATACTAATTATAAATAGTATATATATACTATTTCAATATATATTAAAATAAATATAAATAGAATTATATATTTATATTTTATATAATATAAATGTTTTATTTATATTATTTATTTTATATAAATATAAATAGAAGTTTATTTTTTATTCTAATTATTCCTCTATTGATTTTGTTAACAAGGACTCAAGAACCACACAACAGACAGCAGTGACTTAAGAAAAGGAAACTATATTATTTGCATAAAATGAAACTATAATAATAAAAATAACTGTAAGTGATGTCATCCATTAAAAACTCATATTTACCATTAAATTTATTAGTACCAGAAACTGTGCTAAGCCCATAATGTATGTTGACATGCCTATAAGGAGCCTATACTTTTTAATAAATAGTTTTTGATTGTAGAAATGTAGTTTTGCTATTTTTCAGCTATTTTGACAACAATATCAGCACATTGACAAATTAGTAACTTGAAACAAATATTAAGTTGACCTAAATTCTGGAGTTGGACATGATAATACATAAAAGAAATGATCTACAAAATATGAAATAAAGTTTTAGCATATAAAAAGATTTATATTTAGATAACTTGTAAAAAAAGAAAGAGCTTTATACTACCTAAAAGTAAATTCTCATGGATTAAATAAAAATATATTAATAGAAACTAAAAACATTCAAATACAATTGTCTTCTTGCTTTCAGTTCATTGTAATCTGAATCAAGTGGAGAGGAATTTGGCAAAATAGCTCTTACTTACATGCCATAAATTAGAAAGATAAGCAAAAAAATTTAAGTTTTGATATTTACCTGATGTCATGACTACTTCTGGGGTTTCAGTTGGGCTTCCCAGATATATTTGGGTTAGAAGGTAGAAGCCAAGAGAATTGGTTCATGGATGGCCAAAAGTATCTAAGCTAAAGGTGAAGATCAAAAAGTCTTATAAATATTGAAGGCAGCTAATATTTATAAGCAAGGGAATGATTTTCTATAATCTGAGTCATAATTACTGAGACCAAGCCACAGGAGACTGACTAATGCTGAACTCAATACCTCTCTTCTAGCTATCACTCTCTGCTCCAACTTCTTAACCTCCCAACTGTTGTCACTTAAGAATCTTGCCTTTAGGGAGAAGTAGGGTTAGGCTGACCTCGAAGAGCTTCTTTCCTTTTTTTTTTTTTTTTAACTTTTATTTTAAGTTCAGGGGTACAAGTGCAGGTTTGTTACATAGGTACACTTGTCTCATGGGGGTTTGTTGTACAGATTATATCATCACCGAGGTATTAAACACAGTACCCATTAATTATCTTTCGTGGTCCTCCACATCCTTCCTCCCTCCACCTTCCAACAGGCCCCAGTATGTGTTTTTCCTCTCTATGTGTCCATGTGTTCTCATCATTTAGCTTCCATTTATAAGTGAGAACATGTGGTCATTGGTTTTCTGTTCCTGTGTTAGTTTGTTAAAGATAATAGTCTCCCTGCAAAGGACATGATCTCATTCTTTTTATGGCTGCATAGTATTCCATGGTGTATATGTACCACATTTTCTTCATTTTTTTTTTTTTTTTCAGGATTCTGCCCTTAAAAGTCCTGGTTTCTTCAGTATTCTTTGATGCATTCAAACAAAAATTCGCTTATTTGTTTGTCTGATTGTATTTTGTCCAGATTTCATTGTTGCTTGTCTGTTTATAAAAGAGATGGTTTGCACAAGGCGAATTTACTGTTATCAGAAACCAAAATTCCTCTACCAGATTTAAAAAATGATCTCTCCATGAATTCAGATGAGATTGGGCATATTCAGGGTGGTATGGCCATAGACAGCTCTCAATGAATTCAGAATTATTCAGAGAATAGCTGTGTCATTTTAAGGGCCCTCAAATATTTAAAAATGGGAATGAGAATCACATAGAATGAGCTAAAGAAAAAGGTGAAGAAAAAATATAAACAGAAATGGGCCAGATGGAACAGTTAGCCCACTGTGAAAAACAAGGTTCCTGCAATCTCAATGACAGATTAAGAGTAGTGCATGGTAGAATCAGTTGTACACACTTTTAACTAAACATCACAGTCTAAAATACCTGTCATATGACAGCTTTCCACGCTAATTTTTAAAAATATACTGTCTATATGAATAAGATTAATTCTATGTATAAAATTTGACTTAGAATATTTCGCTTTTAATTTTAATTGGATTTTCAAACCACACTTCTCATAGCTTTCATACTATTGACTCAAAAATGTAGTAGAAATCATGTTCTATAAGAGTCGCTGGACGTTTGTTGTTGTTGTTCCTGTTGAAAATGGAGAAAAAAGCAATCCTTGGTTGGCACATTACAGAGTCCTAATTTTTAATATGTCTTTAAGTCCAAGATTCTTCTCTTTTATGATTTGTTAATCTCATAAACAACTAAAAAAATTAGAGTCATAACGAACTTGTATTTCCCAAAATCTATCCTACACTTTGACTGATCTTTCTGGTATTCCCAAAGATATTTTATGAACCTCTGCTGCATCTTCTAGGAATTCTTGACCAAGGTGAATCTTAAGGAAGCTGTCACAAATTTGAGTGGCTGTTCCACATATAAGATATGCAAATCAAAGCATTACCAGAATGTATTAAATGCTCCACTGCAAAGCTTCATGAATCAAACATAGGCTAAGTCACATTGAATTCTAATTTATAATGTTGTGGTTTATTTACTGTCTAAGAAAACCCAAAGAATTTTTACAGGCATTTAATTTATGTAATCTCGAAAATGTAAGTCTAAGAAAAAGTGTGTTATTTTCCAAATAAATACCAATTTGGAGGAGAAAGAAAAAGCTCCCAGACAAATGATTTATTTACCAAAGGCCAACTAGTGTGTTAATGTTGAGAAGCAAACAACATCTTGATCTGTTTCCTGTGCTATGTTCACTTGAGCTGATTATATGGAAGCAGAGGACAGGAAGATGAAAAACAAACAAGCAAACATGAGTTTTCATGTCAAGTTCCAGTGACACTTCTGCAAGGCACCAGGCTGATCTCTTTTAGACATGCAGTTAAACCGTTGAAGTTTAACCTAAGATCCTGGGAGAAATGGTTGCATGCAGTATATAAGAGGTATCAGAGAGATATTAACCCAGGAAATAAATGGCAGACAATATATTCCTAAGCCATGGTGATTAAAATAAAAATGATAATAAGGAAGAGTTTAAACTAAGAAAGCAAAATTCCCTTTTACCTTTTGTAGCCCTGAATTTATATTTCATATTAATATAACATTCTACTGTTTTAGAACTAGATATATTATTAGACATTTCAAGCCCAGCTTTCTTAATTCATCAAACCTAGCATCTGGTATTTCAAGAAAAGATTGTGAAACTTCCTCAGTTACTCAGCATATGGTATAGAAAGTTCTATATAAGAAATCCTTCTGAAAAGTGTATGGTTTTGGTATTGATATATGAAAATAGCAATTTGACTTACTTTCCTTTATTTATCTGGTTTTATTATCTCTCTTGTCATTGGTTATTTCTCTGCAAATCTGAACATTCAAAAATATATGTATTTTCTTATTGATATTATGTTGAAAAATCAACGATGTGGTCCAGCAAACTTAATAGTGAGATTTTTCCATTTTCATGGGTTAGAGCTACCAATACTACTGAAATGCCCTCCCCAAATCACCAGATTTCTTCACCTCCAACTGTTTCATTTAAAGTTAATATTAGAACGCAAATCTCCAGATAATTGTGATTTTTACAGTGAACTAATTTTACCAGCAAGATTTAGAGGATGTTTTGTTTAAAAGAGGAAAATTCCAAATCTCTCTCCATATAAGCCTCCACTGTAGAATGCTAGTATCCTTTGTGTTAAACATCAAAATTGATAAATGAAAAACCTAAAGATTTACTCAACCATTTCTACTATTATTTATATAACTACGTGTTTAAAATGCAACAATTTATATTTATACAACTATATAGTAAAGTTTATGAGTAGCTATATTATTATATAAATTAAGGATGTTGCTATAGATGTTCTTAGTGGTCTTTAAAGAGCCAAAGGTTGAGCATATAATAATTCATGATGTCGAATTCTTTATACTAGTCTGTCTAAAAATAAGCTCTTCTGTGCCTGCTGAATTTAATCACTTAATAGTGAATAACAGAGGTCAATCCTCAGATAATAGTCATTTGGAACAAGCCAGCACAGACGGTGAGATAAGAAATTTTAAGATAAGAAAGATTAAAGCAGAAAGTTGAAGACAAGGATACATTTTTTTTTGAGTTACTGTTAAGAAACTGAAGTTATGAAACTGTTAAGTTACTGAAGAAGAAAAGTGTAGGAAGACTTAGATCAATGACAGTGATGAAAAAAATGAGTTAACTTCAATCAAAACCACCCAAAGCAGTTTAGAAGCCTGGTAAATAAATTATTGAAGCCTGGGCAATTCAGATCAGAAGCATGAAAACACCAATATGTACATATAAATGAAAAAGCATCATTGGTCAATCCAGCTATTTTCTGATAATGCAGACATTTCATTTTCACTCTACATTTCAAATGATGGTTAAAAAGCCATATATATATATATATATATATATATATATATATATATATATATATGAACCATTTATATATATATGAAAAAGCAGGATTGGCAAATCTAGTTATTTTCTGGTAAAACACTGTTTTCATTTTATTCATCATTTCCAATGGTGATCAATAATACAATGACAATTGGACTAGCTTTACAGAGAAGCAGTGTTGTATATATATGGCCATCATTTGAAGCTCTTCAAAATAATTGTGTAATTTTCAGAATATCTACGCTTTCTGAAAAGATAAAATAATTTTAGGTATTAAGATTCTTTATCTTTTAAAGCACTATTATTTGAGGTAAAAATGTATAAGTAGCTATATAGAGGGTTGATATTTTAGAATACATTATATGTAAGGTGTGGCTCTAAGGATTCTGTGAGTTTAATCTTTAGGACAACCCTAATGAAGTAGGTTTATTATATTATCCCAATTATATGTTTTTAAAAACATAGGTTTCTAAATTGTTAAGTCTTTGTCAAAGGCTGCACAACTAGTAAGTCATGAAACCGGAATGCACGCTTAGGGAGTCTGACTCTAGGGTCCAAGCTCTTTTTAACTATCCTTTCTCTCTCTCTCTCTCTCTCTCTCTCTCTCTCTCTCTCTCTCTCTCATTTGTCTGCCTATCATCTATCTTTATCTGTCTTCTATCCATCTATTATATATTTATGATCCTTCTACTTATTTTTCAGTTTCTTTGCAAACCAGCTTGAATAGAGAAGAATGGGAGAACAGTTCACTGAAATTCACAAGATCTGAATCTAAACTACACCTTTCTGGATCTCCTGTCTCAATCTGATAAGAGAAATGGTAGTTTTGATTTCTCTAATTTGTTATGCATTGAAAACTACTGAAGCAGAAGCTCAACCTAAAATGTATAACTGCGTATAATATGAAAATAAATAGAAAAAATAAAATTAAAAATGTATAATTTTTGAGCTTATTCCCTCAGCTTTTAAAATGAAAGCAAAGTGACCAGGATTATGATTAGCTAGATTTTGTTTTTAGCAGCCACTCTATGTATGATACTATCTAGGTCAGGGGTTCTCAGCTTTGCCATTATTAACATTTTGAGCCAAATAATTATTTGTGTGAGGGGCTATCTTGTGCATTTTAGGATGTTTAGCAGCATCCCTGGCCTGTATCCAGTAGATGCCAATAGTACCCCTCTCCAGTGTAACACCCAAAATATCCTCAAACATTGCCAATTATCACCTGGGAGCAAGGGTGGGGGAGGCAAAACCATCTTTAGTTGCAAATCAATGGTCTAAAACGCTCATGTTTGTCATCACTTTGAAGAAGTTATGCAGGAGATTTCTAATTACTCAGCCTTTTGAAATAAACCCTATCAGTGTGACATAATCATCCATTTACAAAAAGACTACTTGTAGTGACAATCGTAACTTTTTAAATGACATGATTTGTTTTGCCCATGTAATTGAGAGTTAACTGGCTGTGGTAATTAGTCCAACTGGACATGAATGTTTCCTCAGAAAAAGAAAAATTGAAATACTTTCATGTCTGTGAAAATTCCCTCTGAGTATGAGAGTGATGAATAATACATACAAGATAAAACATGCTCTGACTCTGGTTCACAGACCTGAGATTCAAAGAGAGGCACAGAACTATTACAGATTTGCTAATTATCACACTGAAACTATTTAAGCTTTAGGCCTTAAAGAGACCAAAATATTAACTATTAGACATTAATGGCATGAGATTTAACAGACTAGGAACCAAGATGAAGTAACACAAAAGAATTCATTAGAAAAGAAGGAAGTAGATATGAAAGGTATTTTGGCTATGAGTTATTTTCCAGAATTAATATATGTTGTGTGGCAACTTATATCTTTAGAAATAGTCTTTAAAATCAGACGTAAACTTTATAATATCATTTTGGTGTCATATTTTCTATAAAACTAATGAGACTAATCTAGATGTGGTTTCTGATCTATATTTTATAGATAGATGCATAAAAATATTTGTGGTTTTAACTTATATTATATTCAAATAATTTATCACCTGTGCATTCAAGAATATGTTGATAGGTAATCTTACATAATTAAGAGAGAAAAAGACATTTTATGTTTAAAAAGTCAACTCAAAAAATTTCTGTAAAAAATTTGAACTTATTTTTGAAATGGTAAAACATGCTTTCTGAGTTCTGTCTCTGCTACTTCTAAGGTATGTGACTTTAAGTAGCTCATCTAATACTTTTCTGTAAATTGGGGATAATAACATTGTCCTACATATTTTAAAAATTATTCTTGAAATCATATTAAATGTTAAAAATCACATCAACTCTAAAACCATTTTTATTTTAAAAAATAGAATCTCTCTAAAATAACTTAGTTACCCCATGAAAGTGAGTTGGATAATGCCAGGTTATTGGTGATCATTTACTATTCAAGAGCAGTAGAATTTCCAATTCAAAATGCAGGAAGATATTAAAATTCCATTCATGCTTTTACTCAAGCATTGCTGTGGATCATTTTAAATGAAAGACTATAAATATTTTCAGGGAGAAATGGTACACATTTGGGACTGGTGCATAGTTTTTCAACTAGTACTTGTTCTGAAAGGTATTTAGGTATTTTTTTTTTTCTGTTTAATACCAAAAAGGACAGAATACGGCAAAAAACAAACAAAAACTACTATTACTGTTATAATTAGAAAGCAATATTTCGTTTTGTTCTCCGTGTTTAATTATAATTACTTTAGAAATTTTTGACGGGAAATAAGTTGACTTGCGGATTGAAAGTGCAGAGTAGAGAAACAAAGAACAACACATACATACACATGTATATGTTTATTTATACACACGTGCATACATGTATATATATATATAGTACATATTTACAGATAAATATATACACGTATAAATATATATTGCCTTGTTTGGAAGAGTCAATGTTATGAATGTTTTCATTTTGGTAGAGATTTTATTTTGCAAACTGCATGATTTTACAGATTTGGTGCCATAATTTAAACATTTTCATGTATAATTTGTATAAATCTGATGGAAGAGTGAAAGGGTTTTGGTGTTTTTATTTTTTATGTTTTTTTAATACAAGAATTATTTAATTCACATAATGCTGGTTATATATGTCAGGCAATTATTTTCCTATTGTGCTTGGGATTTAAGATTTCTGAGAAAGTTTCACTTTATCATTTTGAACAATTTCTTTCCCATTATGCCGAATCTCCCAATGCCAACAGTTGTTGATGTCTCTAAGAACAGATGGTTTGTGGGAGGATTGTTGAGTGAGATATTCTGCATCTTGGTCCCAGGACTGCACAGTTGCTGTTGGAAAGGTTACAGAAATGACAACTGGTACACGAGAAGTTGCAAACCAGAGAGTGAAAATAGGCAGACAACTGTATGGAGACTATCCAAATAAAAAGACATTTTGATGAAATCTTGACATCCCTTACAGAAGAAAATGCAGTGACTGCAAGAAGTTTGGATGATACTAAGGTGGTTGACATATTGGCAATGCTTTTCATATCTATGCTTTAACAAGTTTCACAATTCAACTTTAGAATGATGAATCTGTGGGGGACATTTTCTATGGCAGGTTTTTTTTTATTATTGTCCTTGAGATAGAGATAGTGGATTTCTTCATTTTCAATTGTATGTCTTGTTGCTAGGTTAAAAAAAAAAAGAGCATTTTTCTTTCTTTTTCTTCCACTGAAACTCGCATAAAACAAGTAAAACTATACAACGAACCTGCACATGTATCTATGAACTTAAAAGTTTTAAAAATGGAACAGTTAAGGAAATACTAAATTATTATATATCAATTAACTAGACTTTATGAGATAAAATACTATGATTTTAAACGTGAGATATATTGTCATTTCTGGGTTAAAAATAGCTATTCCAAACATAGGGAACTTAGGCTTGAGTCAGGAACACTTTTAAGACACATTTCTGAGACTTCCAGTGTTCAGCAGCATCTCTTATGAATGTGTTACAAATAAGGCTCTTTCAAACCCCAACGTAGTACATGTTAGGCTAAAAACATCAGTGGATGTGGCTTGAGTTTTGTTTTATTTTCTTTCTCCTCTCGCCTCCATCAAAATCCACTGAATGAAATTGTTAGCATCTCCTTTCAAATTACTGAGTATTTAAAAGTAGAAAAAAGTACATAGTAAATATAGTATCTTTTTTTTTTCCTAGCCAACCTCCAAATATAGTATCTTAAATACATCATTAAATATGCATTGTTTCTACTATGTGATGTTAATGAAATCGCTCTGTTAGATTTCAATATATAGTAAATATATATTCCTATTGGCTATTTGGAACCGAACTTTTACGTAAGAACATTAAATGAGGGCTCATGTAGTTATGATGGTTATATAACTGTCAACAGTTGTATAACTTAGCTAGTATTAGGAAGAGTTAAGTTGAGCCCCAAATAACTTTTTCATCTCTTTTCTTATAGTATCTTCTCATATCACCTCCCTTTTCTTTTAACGATCTCAAAATATGGGCCAATACCATATCTATTGAGATTTGCAACATATAGAATTTCTTCTTTCTTAAATTCTTCTTTTATTTGCAACGTATAGAATTTCTTCTTCTTCTTATAGCTATCAACAGCTATATAACGTAACAAGCATTAGGAAGAGTTAAATTTGAGCCCCAAGTAATTTTTCCATATCTTATATTACACTGTCTTCTCATACCACCTCCCCTTGTTTTCAACAATCCCAAAGGATGGGCCAATACATGGTATCTATTGAGATTTGCAACATATAGAATTTATTCTTTGAATTATGATTAACTAAGTCCATAGTTTACATTAGGGTTCACTCTTTGTTTTGTACAGTTCCAAAGGTTTTGATAAATTTATAATGACATATCCACCATTAAAGTGTCATACAGAATAGTTTTATTGCCCTAAAAATGTACTGAGTTCCACCTATTCATTCCTTCTTCCCACCTTCAACTCCTAGTAACCATTGATCTCCTTATTGTCAGAAAGAGCATGTGAATAAAGCATATAAAGGCTTAAAAACAAAACAATGAAAACAAACATAATGGGTCCCTAGTCACACAGAGCCTGGGAACATGTAATCTGTATACATCAACTCTTTCAAGCAATGCCACAGAGCTACTAAACACCTATTTGATCATTGATTGATTGGTTTCCTGCATGGAAGTATAAATGGAAATTTCAGCTCCACCATCCCTGCTCCACCTGTTACAAGTGGTGTGTCCACAAAAAGGTGTTGAGACTGCAGTGATCCCAGCCCTTGTTTTCTCAGAGGAAATATTTGACCTGAGAGATTGAGGCAAGTTTTAAAGCAGAGACAAAGGTACATTGAAAGAAGCAAAGGACACTTGGAAGAAGACTAAGCAGGCAATTTGAGAGATTAAGTGCCCCACTCAGCCCTTGGCTCGGGATTTTTATATCCCCTCCCTTGATACCTCTCTTGCAGCTCATTGTTGCTCAATTGTTGCATGCACAGTGGCCTGTCAGTGCTGGGAGGGGTGGCATGTGCAGTGTGCTTACTGAGGTTGTGTGCATGCTCACTTTTGGCAATTTTGCCTTACTCATTGAGTGTCCCCAGAGGAAGGTCATATACTGGTTAAAGTCCATCATTTTGTCCCCTACTGTGCATGCTTAAGACCTTATCGGGGAATTGTGGTTTGCTGGCTTGTTTTCTATTCGGGGGAACTTCTTTCCCTCTTGGCGCTAGCTGTGACCACTTATCATTTAATTATTATTATTTTTTAACCATTTCAACCATTTTTATTTTATTTATTTTAACGTTTATTTTAATAGTTTTGGGGGTACATGTGGATAAGTTCTTTGGTGGTGATTTCTGAGATTTACCCCTCACCTGAGCATTGTACATTGTAGCAAATATGTAGTCTTATCTCTTACTCCCTTCCCAACCTTCCCCAAGTCCCCTAAGTTCATTATATCATTCTTATACCTTTGCATCCTCATAGCTTAGCTCCCACTTACAAGTGAGAACATATGATATTTGGTTTTCCACTGCTGAGTTACTTCACTTAGAATAAAGGCCTCCAGCTCCATTCAAGTGGCTGCAAAAAACATTATTTCATTCTTTTTATAGCTGAAGAGTATTCCGAGGTATATATATATATATACCCCATTTTCTTTGTCTACTGGTTGATTGATGGCCATTAATGTTGGTTCCATGCCTTTGCAATTGCAAATTGTGCTGCTATAAACATGCATGTGCATCTGTCTTTTTCACATGACTTCCTTTGGTTAAATACCCAATACCACTTATCATTTTAGACGGACAGTTTTATTATTGCCTGACCATCACCCAGTGAGTGCCTGACATTTCTGGGGGCACTGCTCATATCTGTCTAACTACCTACACCAACATAACCACAATTAAATTAAATGGAAAGGCCAAAAACATAATATATCTTATATACTTGTGTTGAGAGAAATTCTGCTTTAGTATGACATTTTAGTTTGAGCCATTTCACTCCATAGAAGACTGTCGAAATTTTCTTCCTCACACATCTTGACATTACTTTTAGGAAATGATACACAGAATCATAGTGAAGCATGAAGAGACAAGTGAGAGAGAGGATTTTTTGTTTGTTTGTTTTTAAATAAATTTTCTTGGATCACTTTTAGATTTAAACAAAAACAGAACTGATAGTATGGAGAGTTCCCATTTACTCCCTCTTCCTGTGTCCCCCCACCACTGTTTCCCCTATTATTAACATCTTGCATTGGTATGGTACATGCCCTAAAAATGCCCTGGGTTCCATCTATTCATTCCTTCTTCCCACCCTCAACTCCTAGTAACCACCGATCTCTTTATTGCCTGAGTAGTTTTGCTTTTCAAGAGAAATAATTTTAAATCAAATGCATTTTTATATTAACAAGTTCTTTTTCATAAAGGATATTTCAATTTTGAATAGAAATGGCACAGAGTTTAAAAATGTATATGAGCCAGGCGTGGTGGCTCACGCCTGTAATCCCAGCACTTTGGGAGGCCGAGGTGGGCGAATCACGAGGTCAGGAGATTGAGACCATCCTGGCTAACACGATGAAACCCCCATCTCTACTAAAAATACAAAAAATTAGCTGGGCGTGGTGGTAGGCGCCTGGAGTCCCAGCTACTGGGGAGGCTGAGGCAGGAGAATGGCGTGAACCCGGGAGGCGGAGCTTGTAGTGAGCCAAGATCAAGCCACTGCACTCCAGCCTGGGAGATAGGGCGAGACTCCGTCTCAAAAAAACAAACAAACAAAAAAACAAACAAACTATACGATAGGTGCATTTGGAAGGACCAACAGTGTTAAGAATTTGCTTAGGTCTTAATGTGGGAATTTGTGTAGCTAATTTACTTTACAAAATAGAAAATAAGGGCTAATCATGATTATATAGATTTAAACTTAAATGATTAGTGTCAAAACCTGTAACTCAAAGAAATGCTTTTACTTTTTGTTTATTTTTACTGATACTTTAATAACTTGGAAACAATTTACAGTAGCCAATGCTTTTTCCAACCTAAATGTAATAATTGGTACATTTATTTTATGGTGGCTCCATTTGGAAAATCAATAGTGATGAGAGCAAGAGAGATGGGAGCCAAAGAGATAAGTGGCAGATGGTAGCAAAATAGTTGCTTTAAAATATTGAATGGCCATGCAAAGTCTCAAACAACCATAGGGAGCAGAAAGAATTGTTAGATGGAAAACAAACAATGTAATTCAGCTTCAAACTTACAAATGATTGCTTCTTTTATAAGGTAACTTCCAATAATTCTCTGAAGAATTTTAAAGCCTCTTAAATATTGTACTAAGGGGAGGGAGCTATTTTTGCATTGGCAGTGCTTCCAAGAATGAAATTTTGGCAAGCTCAGCTCTGCGCTTTTGCTGTACAGTATATGGTAATGTTCATTATGATTGTATTGAAAATGATCCATTCTGGTATAATACTAAATCTGATCTAATTCAAAAATGAACTCAAATTCCATAAAACCCAAGTATGAAGCTGAACACATTTTTCTTCTTTTATTAATAATGGTTTTATTATGCTTAAATTACTTCTCTATTTTTATGGATAATGTTTAAAAGTTTGTCATTTTTTTTCTAAACATAAAAACATTTATTACTTTAACAAATCAATATGGCACTTTTTAGGAAACTAAGAAATAGTCATAGCTATCATTTCAGGACCCTAGAGTTTACTGAATCTCAATGTGCAAAAGAAGCAAAATCATTACATATTTGGTATATTAAGGACTGCCACTCTGAAAGGCTTTGCATGTTAACTGCTTTAAATTTTTCTGCTTTACAGAAGATGCATATTCATGAATTATAACATCATTAGGGTACACCCCAATTTTGATAAATAATAGTACTCAATTTTTCATTCATTTATTTCACATAAAAGAAACATTTAGAGTATCTAGTGGAAATTAATATTTTTTAAGTACTTTTTTTTCCTGAGATGTAAATTTTAAAGGCAAGGTACACGTGTATTTTTCTATTAAGTGTTGGCATTTAAAAAATTAAATATGCCATATTTTTCTAAGATAACCAAAATATAAGTCCCACAGAATAGTATGATAGAAAATCTACACAGAAAAATGAATTGCAATTGAGACTAAACAGAATGGAGTCACAAAGTCACAGTTTGAACATCATTAGCTTAAGCTAACATTACTTAAATTTCTTCTCTAAAACTCTAGTTCCTCGAGATACTCAATGAAAATTATATTTGTATGTATATGAATGTGTTATCTGTGTCTGTATCTGTGTATTTAAATATATATATATGAAAAGTATGCCATGATTCCCTCTTGTAGATTAAAATGAGATATTAGTACATTAGTAACTTTAAGGATAACATGCATGAACAAATACTCTTTTAAGAAATGACAGTAGTGTGAACAGATGGATAGAAAGAACAGATATAGACAATATTTAAATATATCAAAATCTACTTATTTAAAAGATGAGGTATAGCTGCTCCTTGACTTACTGTGGCATTCCATCTCAATAAACCCATAATACATTGAAATCATTAAGTCAAAAGTGCACTTAATACACCTAACCTATCAAGCATAAACTTGGCCTAGACTACCTTAATAGTGTTCAGAACACTTACATTAGCTTATGGTTGGGTGAAATCATCCAACACAATGCCTAATTTACAACAAAGTATTGAATATCTCATGTTAATTTATTGAATACTGTACTGAAAATTTAAAAACAAATGGTGGTATGTGTAGTTACCATTAATGTGCACAGCAGAAAGCACAATGGGCCTGAGGAATGTTTGAAGCATTGAACTAAAGTTAATTGCTCAGTGATAGGGATGCAACAATGACAAGATCATCCATCTCTGTCATTTCTGATGAGGCGGAGAATAGCTGATGGGGGCACTGGGACATCAACACTTGATGGTTTCGTGGGTGCAGTGTTTTTCAGGAAGTTATCAAGTATCAGTTGTTTATCCTTGTGATCATGTGGCTGACTAGAGGCTGCTACCCAGCATCATAAGAGAGTATCATAGTGCGTTATCTCTAGCTTGGAAAAAAATCAAAATTCAAAATTCAAAGGACAGTTTCAACTGAATGTGTATGGCTTTCTAACCACAGTAAAGTTGAAAAACTGCAAGTTGAACCATCATAAGTTCGGGACTGACTGTCTGTATGTTAGTATAGTAAGAATGCAGACATTCTTTAAAGGGTGTAATAGATTTCTAGCCCCTAAAAGCCACAATTACAAATAGTAGCCTCTGGGTCATAGGCATTCTGAAATAAGTATAACTGTTTTTATATAAGTTTTGCATAGACTAACATGGAGTTTTGCCTGGATATATGTCACAGGCCATGTTGCATGAGCCATATCAATCTCAGAATTTTATGAAGCACAATATTGCTGAGGTATGATACATGGTATACTAAGGTTTAAGTATTTTTGTGTGTCATTCTCAGTCACTCCATGATAACACAATGTGGTCCAAATATACTCCTAAACTACTTTTGCGTTTACTCTTTCAAGAGTGCCAATCATTTATTTAGTACTGGACCTAGTCTTTGGATTTATAGACATGCAGGTAGTATAAGTTCGGGCAGCCTTCCCACAAGTGACATGAACTTGAATTTCAATTTTTCCTTCTTGGTTGATGGGTAAGAGTATTACATAAGACCCATTGTGTGATTCTATATCTCAAGTCACATTAAAAAAATACATATGTGTATATGCGTATGTGTCTGTGTGTATATATATATTTTATGTATATATACAAGCTGTTTGGACTACATTTTTCTGCTTGCTTTGTACAACATCCAAACATCACTATCGTGGAACCAGTCTAAAGGTCTGGGAACCTACCCTTGATGTAGCAAGTTCTAGAGCTGCCTATGTACTAACTGAGTGCTGAGCACAACTAGCTCAGTTTTGCCAGCAGAGAAGTGATCTAACACGTTTTTCACAGTACCCTGGCAAAGGCTTCAAGTGCTTTGCTTGCATTACAATTTTGAGGAATACTGCTTTGAGAATGATGTGATCAAGAAATCTTGAGGGCATGCTGTTCACTGTGTGTAAACAACAGAAACAAACAAATACAACCTAGTTTTGTACTTTTGTTTTGTACTTTTGTTTTGTCCTAGCTTATTGGGAGCTTTTCCTCTATAGGAGTTTCTCCATTTGTAATATGAAATATTAATACACATCCCAGGAGCTGTGGGTGAAGGTTAAGAAGATGACCCATGAGATGTGCATGTCTGCTATGTCTGCTGTTGTTCCCAGTACATAGCAGAGGTTTGTTAAACATGAATCTGCTCTTGAGATCTTTGAAATCTACCTGAGGAGTGTAATAATTTCTCATACTGAAACCAGCATGCCTTGTTCAAAATAACTTGTTATTCATACCACATTGCTGTCAATCCTTGTGCCTAAACATTAAGTAGCCATCAGTGATTTAAAAAAAAAAGCAAAAAGAAGTTTGTTTATGAGCATTTGATTTTAAAGACATATACTTAGCAATTTCAGGACATTATCAGGTTTGATATTTATAGCAATATCTAATGCTTGTAACTCTTATTATCATTTCAATTTTACAAATGAGAAACTGAAACTTCGGTGGGTAAAAAGACCCTCCAAGTTTACATGCCAATAAGTCTTGGTGTTAGTATTTGAACGTATGTTGTAAGACTCCAAATTCTATGCTCACACTCAATAAGCACCACAGACAAGCAAGCAGCACTGTCACAGGAGCAGAGCCAAGAATTAATGACTTCAGAGGGAAAGAGGAGCAATATATTACAGCTGCCTAGGACAGATAAAACTTTTCAAAATTACAATGTAAAGACAATGTTTGTTTAGAGGAAAATTAGCTTACGATTTCAAAGCACTATTTTAAAGTGTCAAGTGAAAGACATTGTCACTATTTTCTACTTCATTTTTCAAATTTATTATATAATGTGCTCATAGGCATCATCCATTACTTGTAATTTTGTACTCTTTTATATTCTAGAGTTTAAAATTACCCGTTTAAAACTATGTCAGTGATTAAAACAGTATTTGTGGCCTTTATATCTCTGAGTTTACTGACTTTAGTGTTTTTCTATACTAGAGACTTGGAAGTCCTATATTTCTTTTCTTTTCTTTTCTTTTCTCTTTTCTTTTCTTTTTTTTTCCTTTCCTTTCTCTTTCTTTCTTTTTCTTTTTTTTTTTTCGATGGAGTTTCACTCTTGTTGCCCAGGCTTGAGTGCAATGGCTCGATCCTGGCTCACCGCTACCTCCACCTCCCGGGTTCAAGCAATTCTCCTGCCTCAGCCTCTCGAGTAGCTGGGATTACAGGCATGTGCCACCAAGCTCAGCTAATTTTGTATATTAGGTTAAGATGGGGTTTCTCCATGTTGGTCAGGCTGGTCTTGAACTCCCAACCTCAGGTGATCTGCCTCCCTCGGCCTCCCAAAGTGCTTAGATTATAGGCGTGAGCCACCGTGCCCAGCTGACACCCTGTATTTCTATCAGCTTGTCTATCACCTATCTAACATCCATCATATCTGTCCATCTATCTATGCGTCCACCTACCTATCTGTCATCTGTCTTGCTTTTCATCCTTCTACTGAATATGAATGATGCTAATTATTCATTTGAAAGACTACTTGGTCTGGCAACTATGGCTTCAGATTCTGACTCCAATGCTGACTCACTGAAATTTGACAGGTGTATTAGTCATCTATTGCTGCATAACAAATTCCTACAACACACATTTATTATCTCACAGTTTTTGTGTTCCAGGAGTCTGGCACATCCTCCCTGGATCCCCTATTCAGGGCCTCAAAATGCTGCATCAAGGTGTTGGCTGGTTAGAGGATTCATAACAGGCTCAAGATACAAGGCTGCATCAAGGTGTTGGCTGGGTAGCGGATTCATAACAGGCTCGGGATATTCCTCTAAGTTGATGTGCTTGTTGGCAAAATGCATTACCTTGCTTCTGTAGAGCTCATGGGTGCTTGCTTCTTCGATGCACACAGGAGAATTTTTCTGACCTCATAAAATGAGGGAAGGCCTCATTGTATCAAATGGGATACTAACATAGAAGTGTCTAGCACATTATAAATGTTCAAAATATTATTCAGTTTTTAATTAGAAACCAACTTTTTTCATCAACAAAGTAATCTATGTCATCTTCCATTGTAAATTATAGTTAATATACATTTTACTTATACTTCTCAATTATTAAAAAAGCATTTATGAGATATTTTAGAATTTTTTAGGTAAGGAGGTTAGAAAATATGTCTGCAGATGTAAATAGGTGTGCAGATCTTGCCTAGAAGTAGAAGCCTTTTTGGCTTCATTGTTTCTATGTTCCCAATTTAGCGGTGAAGATTATGGGGAGATTGGATGTGAAAATGCTTTCTTAACCATGAAACAATGCAAATACTAGCAACAAATATTAATACAGGAAAACTAGGATGTGGACTAGAGTGAAGATTAGGAAGATGTAGAAGAGGAGACCAGGTGGGGCTATTTCAAAGAAAAAGCAGATTTAGTTATGATAAACTCAGTGTCTGTATCATTATATGATTTATTAAGCAATATTTTAAAAGCAGCACATTGAGGTAGGTAGGACTTCACAAGGATGCCACTTAAAGGTGTTCTACAATTTTTCTGGCAGGTGGACATGCACATTATCCTGAGGGTGTATCTTTTCTTTCAAGAGAGTCATTTGGTATGCTCCTATTTGTTGCATAACTCTAAGAGTGGTGTATCTTACTATCCTAAAGATCTTCTATGATAGACCTTTTGTGATTTGTCATGGTTGTTTTATTATGTTTGTATTGAAAAAAAATAATTTCTTTAGTAGGAAAGAAAGTAGAATCTTTTGAATCTCTGTGTTATTATGATCTCTCTGATGGAGAGACATGATTATAACTTAAATCTGCTCGCTGTAAATATGCCAGGGTCACTGAAAGAGAATGCATCATGAAGGAAAGGAGAGTCTCTGAACTGTCATCCTCAACTTAATATCCAGAACTGATGGACAGTGTAGGAGGGGTGGGTTGGTCCCCACCTATAGCTGAAGCTGAAGGCTTCCTCTTGTCTTGGTCAGACACCCTTCCTGGAAGGCCATATTTGGGAGCAATGGTTGGGCATAACAATATGAACTGAATTGCTCTCACTGAATGCTGGACACATTCCTCATTAACTACTGTGATCTCTGAAGGGATATAGTTTTTGTTTGTTTCTTTGTTTGTTTGTTTTTCTTGAAACAGGGTCTTGCTCTGTCACCCAGGTTGAGCACAGTGACATGATCAGAGCTGACCGCAGCCTTGAACTCCTGGGCCGAGGTGATCCCCCTGCCTCAGGCTCCAAAGTTGCTAGAACTACAGGAATGTGCACCCATACCTGGCCAATTTTTTGACATTTTTTTTTTTTTGTAGAGATGGAGTCTCACTATGTTGCCTAGGCTGTCCTTAAACTCCCAGCCTCAATGATCCTCCTGCCTTGGCCTCCCAAAACAGTAGAATTACGGGCATGAACCACCATGCCTAGCCCCGAACTAGTTTTAAATGTGACCTCTGTGGCAATGAAAGATGCAAGGAGAGCTAAAAATTGGTATCTGGTTTTAGATTATTAAGGTTCTCCAATCAGATCTTTTGGAAACAAACCTGACTTTGGGCTGAATAAAACTCCAGCATTTTGTTGTTGTTGTTATTTTAGGTCTTAGGAATGAGAAATTGGAGGTTCTACTAATTTGGGTAAGTTGTGGCTCAAATGATTAATTTGAATTAAAAAGCTGATGAAAAAGAAAAAAAAGCAGATATGCCTATAAAAGTACTTCAAGATCTTATTTAAATCAATGCTACCATTTAGCCATGTAACAATAATTTAAAGAATATTTTATAATTTCTATGTGACTGCAACTTACTGTTATGCATCAGAAGGTCAAAAAACTTATTTGTAACAACACAGGACTGAATGAGAAAGTAAAAAACCTGTATTTATTTCAGAGTCACCTTGCAATTAATAATGTACTGAAAGTAGAACTCTATTCTCAGTATATTTTCAATATAAACCAAGCAGTCACTCATGATTATTTTTCACATTCAATCCTTTAGTGAGTATCAACTTGCTTTGTTCCAGTTTGTGCTTTATCAAAGCAAAATCTCTGCATTAAAAATATACAACTGAGAGAAATGTGCATTGCATTGAAAAGGAGAAAAAAAATCACAAAAGTTAGGTGGAAAATCTGGAAACAAGAAAGAATATCATGAGATTTATTTGAATCATAGTGTACTTTCAAAAGCTGACTGATAGGTTTAGAGTTGCTTCTGGCTTCTTAATCATTTGGGCACTGCTTCTCAACTAAATGTAATTCATGGTTTTCTAAAGATTTTTTTTAAACTCAGCGTAAGACAATATGTTTTATTCTCAAGGTGAGCACACATTTAATCTACCCATGTTTTTTTTTTTTTCCTTTGAGACAGAGTCTTCCTCTGTTGCCCAGGCTGGAGTGCAGTGGCATAATTTCAGCTCACTGTAGTCTCCATCTCCTGGGTTCAAAAGATTCTCATGTCTCAGCCTCCCTGGTAGTTGGGATTACAGGAGTGCACCACCATGCCCAGCTATTTTTTCTATTTTTAGTGGGAGCAGGGCTTCACCATGTTGGCCAGGCTGGTCTCAAACTCCTGGCCTCAAATGATCTGCCTGCTCCAGCCTTTCCAAAGTGCTGGGATTATAGGCGTGAACCACCGCTCCCGGCTCTACCCATTAATTTTAAATGTACTGTATGAACATGTTTATCACTTAACATTTGTTGACCTCAGTTTTCTCATGTGTGATAGAATTAGCTGATTTGTCAATACTCTCCTGGATTCAAAAATTGTGCTTGACATTTAAGTGTATTTAAGGGTTAATATAAAATATATAATACTTGCTTTTTAATAACATATCTGAAAAACACATATATCCTAAAAGAAACATTGTGATTCAATAGTAAGAGATGGGAAAATAATAACATCTACAAAGGTAGAAACCTACAGTTGTTTGGTTAGTATGAAACCTATTGGGAAGAATCAGCAATTTTCTTCCCTTCTGTTTGACTGTTTCAGAAAAACCTTAAAGTGGTAATTGAGTTTTACTTAATTTGATATAAAGCTACTGAGGGTCAACATAGAATTAGGTTTTATTCTATCCTCTTTAATAAACATTTTCTTTTCATTATTACCTGGGAAGTGCATGATTAGTTACTGTTTCCTTGTCTTTGAACAATATGGCCTCCAATAAATGTTTTCAGGGAGGTATACCTTTCACAATCCACTGAAATACGGTGATTCTTCATGATTTGGACATTTGGAATTTGCAAATTTGCCTGCTTGCTGAAATTTATTTGTAACCCCCAAATCACTACTCAGGGTGTTTTTGAGGTCATTGCAAACAAATCCAGCAAACACAGAGCAGAGAAAAACGTGATTTGCCTGATGCACAGTTCCCAACTGAAGCAGAACAAGATGACCTTCTGCTTGTGGTTTCTGCTCTCATACTGCACATGAATGTTCTTTCTTTTTTTTTTTCGTTTTTTTGTGTGTGTGAC
This sequence comes from Homo sapiens, assembly GCF_000001405.40. Classification (NCBI taxonomy): domain Eukaryota; kingdom Metazoa; phylum Chordata; class Mammalia; order Primates; family Hominidae; genus Homo; species Homo sapiens. The sequence continues at coordinate 194,710,861 of NC_000002.12, read as the reverse complement.
TTTTTTTTGTTTGTCCTTTCTGTTGGTGAGTTGCTGTTTAAAATGGCCTCTAAGCGTAGTGCTGAAGCTCTGTCTAATGTTCCTAAGTGCAAGAAGGCTGTGACTACAGAGAAAGTTGGTGTGCTAGGTAAAGTTCATTCACACATGCATTATAGGGCTGCTGGATATGAGTTCAATGTTATTGAATCAACAGTATATATTAGATAAGTTATCTTTAAATGCAAGGTTAGGTATTAATTAATTGGTGAAATTTGTGACCAGACAAACCTAACCGTATTTTCCCCAGGAGCAATGGTTCTTTATTAGCTAATTCAGTGCTTGTGGTAATTTTATAGAACATAATTAATGTGAATAATGAGAATCAACTACCAGAAGGAAAAGAAAATTTAACATCTAGACTACTGTGGGTGATGGTTAATGCACATGTGTTTCTGAAGAAGCAATGGGTAGAAAGAGATTTTCTTTGCCATACAATCCCTAACGGGATTTTTAGGATTCACAGTAACCAAAATTAGATTCACAAAGTTGTATATTTTTATTCTGCACACACATTAGGGGCGACATTGTCTGAAAAAGTCCCTGTGCTAATTGACATGTATACAGGAAAATATTACTTCCATGGAGTATTACAGTTTCTATGTTTTCTGCAGTTTTGCTTACAAATACAACTAGCTGTGATGCCACAGCAAACTCCAAAATGCTTGTGAAGTGTTTATTTGCTCACTCATTTATCTAACAGTTATTCAGCACTTACTATATGCCATATACTGTTCTACTTACATAGAAAAACACCTCACAGTCTGTTGAATAGCAAGTAGGAGATTAAATCTCATTTCCTGAACTCGAGGGTCATTTGGTAATAAGAGAAAGAAAACCACTAGAGAGATAACGTTCTGAATAATGAAGAAGTCTCTTCAATGATGTGTAATCTAGACAATAAACGTACTCACCTAAAATCATTGAGACTTCAGTAGTTACAGAGTGTAAGATACCTTGTAGAGAAATATTAGTATATACTTCTAAAGTGATATGAAAGTGAATAGTCACTTGGAGGTAAAAGACATAGATGAAGAGTCATACCTCCAGAATTTATGGTATTTCATAAATTTGTGAAATTGCACATTGGAATAGAAATAGCTAAAGCAATAAAAGTATCATTTTAAAAGTTTCCGTAGTAAAGGAAAAATCTTACTTTGAAGATTGAACTTAGATCATTTCAAGACATATAGAATTATATTTTTCTTTCACCAATATATCATCTCCAGTAAAAGGAAGGTGCTTATATAACACGGGCAGGCAGAGACATGCACAGGGCAAAGAGGCAGGTAGGTATGCTCAATTGGGACAAGAATTAGTGGACCTGACAAGAATAATGGAAACAGGCAACTTCTTACCCATAGTTACCAATAATGCAGTAAGAAAATATAGGTATTTAATACCACATTCACTTTTTAATTATGGCTACTTTGACACTGCTAGTAATTTTGCTTAGGGTAACCATACAGTTATCTGTCTTGAATTTGCATGTAGAATATTTGAGTATTCTTAAACAATAACTTATCATTGCCCTTATAAATGTTTAATAAGTTTAAATCTCGCACCACTTCTTGATCCTTGACTGCTTCTGTGCGCTCCATCGATCTCAAAAATCCTACATCCTCACTTAGGATTGATACACTATTGCTGGCCAGATTTTTGCCTTTAGTGCAGCCCTCTTCTCTGAATTCTATGTATATATCCCTAGAGGTTGCCCTGAAATTTCCACTTAAATACTTTAAATGTCCCTAATTATGGCTACTTTGACTCTGTTAGTAATTTTGCCTAGGGTAACCATACAGTTATCTGTCTTGAATTTGTATGTAGAATATTTGAGTCTCCTTAAACAATAACTTATCATTACCCTTATAAATGTTTAATAAGTTTAAATCTCACACAACTTCTTGATCCTTGACTGCTTCTGGGCACTCCATCGATCTCAAAAATCCCACATCCTCACTTAGGATTGACACGCTATTGCTGGCCAGATTTTTGCCTTTAGTGCAGCCCTCTTTTCTGAATTCTAAGTATATATCCCTAAAGGTTGCCCTGGAATTTCCACTTTAATACTTCAAACGTCCCTCAAAAATATATGTGTCCAAAAATGGCCTTCTTCCCAATATGGCCCTTCTTCTGTGATCAGTGAAAGGCACACCTATTTAATTACAGAAAAAAAAATACCTTCTTCTCCTTCACATCCAATCTAAATGAACACTTGCTGATTTTATGTTGTATGCACTTCTGTATTCAATATTAATATCATAGTTAATGCTACCTCAGTGGTTTACAATCTGGTCGCCCCAGATTAATTCTGCCTCCCATCTACATGCTTCTTTTAGCCAATATGATTTCCCAAAACTGTTGGATGAACAGCTTCAAAAGTTACTTTTTGAAATTCATCTCCAGTTACTCCATTCGCGGTTTTGTTTTTCCCTCAATTCTCCATGTTCTCATGTATACAATGCTCCTCTCTACCTCAGAGCCTTGGCACTTTGTTGCATTTGCTTGGCATGCTTTTCCCCACTCTCTGCCCTTCTCTTTACCCAGTTATCTCCTATTCATCCTTCACATATTGGGTTACTTATCAGCTCCTTACAGAAAGCTTTTCCATCTTCCTGCAACTAGATTTAACTTTCCACGATAACTTCTTATAGTAATAGCAATTATTAGTTTATACATTGATCTATTTAGTGTTTTCTTCTATTTTGAGGAAATATCTCTTGAATGTACTAATTTGTTTCTAAATATTAGTGTATTTTAAAGTCAATAGCTAAACAACGTACTCTTTTGGCAAGCATAGCCAGTAATCTAGAAACAAGGTGGGGCCCACTTTTCCACCCAGCAGCATAGACTATTCTGAAATCAGAGATTAGCTGGACCCTCTGTAAGGTCTAGTTCCTAGATACCCTTTTTATTTTCTAAAGCTATCACCCACATGCTTCAGCCTTTGTCACTTTATTTAAGCAAAACCAATAAATTAAATATTATGCCCTACTTATTTGTTTTCATCTTTACCCCTCACCAAAATAAAACTACAATCAGTAGAACTAGTGGTAAAAAAACAAAAGTTTTGTCTTGAGAAATTATGGGGTTTGGTAGTAGATATTTTCAATCATTTCCTCCCCAAGAAGCAAAGAAAAAAAAAAATCAGACCTGTGAAACCCACCAAAATGAACATATACATGTCATTGATAAAACAAACAAAAGCCAGAATAAAACAAATAAGAAAATAAAACTAGCTTTCCTGAGTTTAGTTTCAGGGACCTATTTAGAGAATATTGTCATTTTCCTTTCTGTTTACTCCAAATAGTTATTTTTGATACTCAACACTGCTGGCTCATAGAGTACCCTGCAATGTTAATGTGGGCTTATTAGGTGTTTCACAAATGAAATACACATCAGAATTACCTAAGAATCATTTTTAAAATTCAGATGCCAAAGCTCCATTTTCCAAATTGGAATTTCCAGTTATAAACCAACACAAATACAACGGCAAAACCTTTAATCACAATTTGTATATGTAGCCATGTCAGAGAATCACTGTGCCAAATGTTCCACATTTTGGGAAGCTTTAGCTATTAAATGTTTTACATGCCTGAGAGACTCATTGTACTTTCAAATATACTTAATAAATCATTTCCAGACTCGCTGAATTTCTTTTCTTCCCCAAAATATATAAACTAATGTAGTCACTAAAAAGTAGGATTAATTTTAGATCTTTCATTGCTATCTATTAGGACTATAATAACTAATTCATATTAGGTAAAGGGTAAAATTAAATGTATATAATGTTAGTGTGTAAAAGATGTAGTCATGGAGAAACTTGAAAGGTAGTTATGCATTGTTATGAAACACTCAAAAAAGTCTTAGTTTTAGAGTTACTAGCAACTTATGTCTTAATCTGCCTGGAAATACTTTAAATTCTTCTTAAATGTAGAGAATTCCTTGATCAATATTTTAATATCTTTCAGGCAAATTCTAATAGATGCTCCATTTCTGGAGTACAAAACAAATTCAGAAAAATTTGGTTCAAATTGTCAACCTTTTAGATTAGAGAATAGATGAGAATAAAATATCTAAGGTGCACATCCTCTGAAAATTGAGTAAAATGTGGAAGTATGTGCTTATATATAAATCAGATTGTTGTTGGTTGCATAAAACTATAAAGGAAAATGTATTATTTCATATAACTCAGCATTTTAACTAAATCATAAAGGACAGTTTTTTCTTTCCATCTTTTTGTATGTTAGCATTAGCTATTCAGTATCAAAAGATGCCTGTAGCAGCTTCAAGAATCACACATTCATACAACAATTAGCAAAGGTGTCAGAGGCATTTGAACCAGAGCAACTCCATCTTGAATAGGAGCTGGGTAAAATGATGCTTAGACCTACTGGGCTGCATTCCCAGATTGTGGACATTCTTAGTCAGAGGATGAGGTAGCAAGTCAGTGTAAGAGACAGGTCATAATGAGCTTGCTGATAAAATAGCTTGCAAAAGAAGCCAGCTAAGACCCACCAAAACCAAGATGGCGATGAGAGTGACCTCTGGTAATCCTCACTGCTACACTCCCACCAGTGCCATGATAGTTTACAAATGCCAGTCAGGAAGTTATTCCGTATGGTGTAAAAAGGGGAGGTATGAATAATTCACCCCTTGTTTAGCCTATAATCAATAAATAACCATAAAAAATGGGCAACCAGCAGCCCTTGGGGCTGCTCTATGGAGTAGCCATTCTGTTGTTTCTTTCCTTTTCTAATAAACTTGCTTTCCCTTTACTTTATGTACTCACCTCAAATACTTTCTTGCACAAAATCCAAGAACCCTCTCTTGGGGTCTGGATTGGGATGGCTTTCCTGTAGTAAAGGCAGTTAGGGAGGAAGCAGCCTGGACATTTCATCTGGTGTATCATTGACCAGGACTATCCCAAAGGCCTGAACTTAATAAGAGTTATAAAACCAACTATACTTAGTTTAGACTACTTTCATTTCATTCTATTGGGATATTTTTTCATCTCTGAAAAACATGGTTGCTCAGAAGAAAGTGAACAAACCTGAGTTCTGTTAGCAAAGGTGAGGAGGGGGATGATTGTTTTGTAAGTGACAGTGGATTAAATGGTGACATTCAGTGTAGCTTAGTAACAAAACATATGTGCAACATTTTGTGGTCAGTAAAGTTGGAACCAGACAGCATTCAGGGACTGGGGTAAAAGAGTGAAGTGAACAGACACGGATAGTTTTGATTTGAGTAAGGTGTTGACACCATGGGACGTTTTTACACAGTTCAGCTAAAAGGTAAATTTTGCTCATGGTGAGAGTAGCCTACAACTTGTGGGCCAGACCAAGAAATTGAATTTAATGATTATAAAGAAGATTGAGGAGGTTGATCACAATGACTTATTCTAGTCCTGCTTCAATTCCTCATTAAAGTTGATTATAGTATTGTAGTGGATAATTAATAAAGTCTCTGAACTACTTGAGTTGCACACGTATTGTTCTTATAACAAGTAAGAGCATATATTTGTTCTTACAGCACCAAGTAAGAATTTCATTATAGGTACCATGAGTTAAATGCATTGTGTTCCTTTCTTGTATAAAAGTGAAAAAAAAAAAAAAGACCTCATTATTCATTAAGTCCTGCAGTCATTTTATTTAAAAGTTAAAAACTCAGCCTTTATATCTATGGAAAAATAATTTAGCCAAAAATTATCCTTGTCAAAAAATAAGGGAATTCAGCAGGGAATGGGAACTTGACTTGAAGATCTCTGTTTATGGTATTAAAACTATTGCTTTTGGAAGAATATGCCATCATAATATTAAATGTTTACATATGTGTATTACATTGCTCAACTACAGTTGCGTATCAAAATTGTAAAATAATTTATAGCTAGCAAGTTCAGTAAGATTGTTTAGAGCTTACAAAATAACTTAATAATTTTCACACATGCACAAAACAGAACACAAGAGGAGTGTGGAATTAAAGTCCAATAGACTTAGGTTTGTTTAATGAAATGTTTATTGTCTCATTCTGAAAAAGGTACATTGAGAAAGAAGCTATCCTACTTTTTCGATGGAAGTAGGGATTATGGAAAAGCACAGGGGGATAAGAAAGGTGAGCCAGTTTAAATGACCTTTATTCAAGCCCTGTTGAAACAAATGAACATGAGGATTTATCTAGCAGACTATAAAATACAACTAGAAAAAAACCCAAGTACCAAATGAATATACTTTTATAAAAGAAAGCTTATAAGTACATAATTACATAGAAATGTCTTTGCTCTGAATTTTTAAAGTTAAAAATAGTATTTATTGAAAATAATATGCATAATTATATAATGTGTAAATTAAAACATTAATAAATTGCAATTGTTTAAACTATTAGTATATATTTAGAACATATACATTATCAAATATTTTTATATTTTTAACTCTTCAAGAGAAAATTTAAAAAATATATGCATTTAGAAAAACTGTCAAACTAACCATTAAATCATTCTATATGATTTTCTCTGGTATTTCAGAACAGATGATATAATCTAAAGTGTTCATGTGTGATAACATTAGCAAGGAAACAATCCTTTATACATTTCCTGTTCTGTTAGGGTACAATTCAGAACTTCTGGCATTGGAATAATTTTGCTGCTCTACTTGTGCACAATCTATATGAGTTTTACTTTTCAAATAATATTCTTTAAAGACCATATCATGCAAACAATCTCCTACTAGAAAAATTTAGGGCAGAAATTAACAGTCAAAGAGTTCTGGAAGCAAACTGGGGATAGAATATATATATATATTCTATATATATATTCTATATATATATATTCTATATATATATTCTATATATATATATATATTCTATATATATATTCTATATATATATATATTCTATATATATATTCTATATATATATATTCTATATATATATTCTATATATATATATTCTATATATATATTCTATATATATATATTCTATATATACTATATATATATATTCTATATATACTATATATATATATTCTATATATATATTCTATATATATATATTCTATATATATATTCTATATATATATATTCTATATATATATTCTATATATATATATTCTATATATATATTCTATATATATATATTCTATATATATATTCTATATATATATATTCTATATATATATTCTATATATATATATTCTATATATATATTCTATATATATATATTCTATATATATATTCTATATATATATATTCTATATATATATTCTATATATATATATTCTATATATATATTCTATATATATATATTCTATATATATATTCTATATATATATATTCTATATATATATTCTATATATATATATTCTATATATATATTCTATATATATATATTCTATATATATATTCTATATATATATTCTATATATATATATTCTATATATATATATTCTATATATATATATTCTATATATATATATTCTATATATATATTCTATATATATATATTCTATATATATATTCTATATATATATTCTATATATATATTCTATATATATATTCTATATATATATATTCTATATATATATTCTATATATAGAATATAATAATATATATATTCTATATATGTATATATTATATATATATATATATATATATATATATATATATATATATATATATCACCCCAAAGTCAGTATTTGTTTCTACAAACATTGCTCTCTTTTAGATTGCAGACTCTTCAGGTAAAAAGGCTTTTGTTATTTTTGTACATATTTTAATTCTCTATTTCGTATATTTGACTGAACATGGTGATTAACACACAATTGACACTCAATAGCTGCTAAATGGTTTGCACTCTGACTCCTTCTCTAAACATCACGGTTTATAGTTTTACTTGAATCCCTGTTCTTACACATCTACTGAAGATGCATTGTTTTACAAAAGTCTTATTTTTTAAAGAATATGCTATGTAGGATTAAATTATTATACTGTATGATTACCTACATTGGGTGGAAACTGCAGATTTTTGCCATCTATTGTGGTAGCAACTAGACATATGTGGTTATTTCCATTATTATTTAAATTAATTAAAACTTTAAAAAATAGAAAAGTCAGTTTTTCAGTTGTACTAGACGCATATCAAGTTTTCAGTAGCCACGTGTAGTTAGTGGCTACCATAGCACTGGTAGAATATCTCCATCCTTACAAAAATTTACACTGAAGAGCACTGTAATAGATTGTGCTATGCATTAGGGACATACGACACAGTAGCAATTTAGTTGCATTTGTATTATAAATAAAAATATATGGTAAACATTTCTACAACATTAATCACTTTCAATATTCTGCAGAAACTTAATTTGCAAAGAGCATATACCCCAAAATTTGTGTACAAGGTTAGAAATATTACTCTTTGAATCTGAATGGGAATTAATCTAAATCTAAATCTAATCTAAATGGGTGAAATTAGCATCTGTAGATACAAGATACTCTAAAATATAATTAGTAAGTATAGGTCTAAAAGAGCTGAGATTTTCAATTGATTGTAACATGACTGAGGTAAGGTTGTCTTTCTAGAGGAAAATCATTTTAAATGCACTAGAAAAAAATACTATCTTGCCAAAGTTTTTGTAGTGGTATTCTACATTTGCTATTATTTATGAAGACTTACATAAAAATTTACAAAACTTTTTTTATATGTTACCTTATCTTATTCTCACAATGATATGAAAGACAGGATGTATGATACAATATTGTAGATGAGACCTTACCTATGTATTGGCCTTACACTTAGCTAGTAAAAGTCCCAGTAGACCATGATGCCTAAGCATGCTGTGATACTTAATTTAATATATCAGCACCTTGACAATGACTAGAATAGTGTGCTAAGTAGAGAAGAATTCAGGTCATTGGAAAATTACTGCTCTCATTGTTAAAATGTGAAAATACTTAGACTCCCTATTTATAAATTAACACATCCAGGCTATGGGCCAGGATTAAGTCTCTATCATGATCCTACATGGTAAATAAGTAATGAACATCATTTGGTGGTGAATCAAGAACAGAGTGAATTATCACTTTCTGAAGAAGTAAAAACACTTCACAGAGTGGTTTGTATTTTGGACTGGATGACTTTAAAAAATTAGAGCTGATTGTGTTTTATTATCTGTGGTTCATTTTGTTTTGTAGCTTAATTATTTTTCTATGTAAATTGACAAATTTCTGTATATTTATGGTATACAATATTATTCCCCCACACACATTGTGGAATGGCAAATCCAAACTAATTAACATCTGCATTACCTCATCCACTTATCTTTTTTTTTTTTATTTTTTTTCGACGGAGTCTCACTCTGTCACCCAGGCTGGAGTGCAGTGGTGCGATCTTGGCTCACTGCAACCTCCGCCTCCCACGTTCAAGTGATTTGATTATCCTACTTCAGCCTCTGAAGTAGCTGGGACTACAGCATGTGCCACCATGCCTGGCTAGTTTTTTTTTTTTTTTTTTTTTTTTGTATTTTTAGTAGAGACTTTTGACAACAGCTAGTCTAACAAGTGTGAAATGACATCTTATTCTTGTTTTAATTTGCATTATAATGTTGGACATTTTTTTCATATACCTGTTGGCCGTTTGTATGCATTCGAGAAATGTCTATCTAGGTTCTTTTCTCATTTTTAAAATCAGGTTATTTGTTTTTATGAATAAGAGTTTATGCAGCAGAAGGAATAGAGAAGAATATTTTAGACAGCATGAACAGCATGGGAAAACTCACAGAATCACAAATGTTAATGAAACCAATTTCTTTTGAGTTCTTTTTTTTAAGTATGATTTTGTTTTGTAGTGTCTAGATACCCTTCTAAGAACAAGTGAATTTACTTTCCAGACTCACAGAGTTGAGGTTCTGTGACTCAGGCTTGCCTAAGTAAGCTAAGTAAACTGTACCAATGGGCCCACACACTGCAAGGCAGCTGAATGTGTCAGGTTCTTTCTTACCTGCTTAAATTACAACAGCTGCCATGAAATGATAATTATTAAGATTAAAATTATCTTTCTGTTTCTAAGGTATCCTAGAATTAGAATCAAATGGTGTGCTCTTTGTGGCAGAACACACCATTAGAAGTAAATGTATACTTGCAGATGTACATTTTTAGATACATGGTTCATCTTTCCTTGATGTTTTTCATATCATTGTTGTGAAATGTGAAACTTGTATGGTTTTATATATTTTAGGGCATTCTCACTAATGTTATCACTGGGACAAGTAGACAGGTTTAATAAACTGTTCATTATTTCATGACATTTGAGATGAAGTGAAAGCTTAGATAAAACAGGATCACATTTATAGTTACCTCTAGAAGCAATACTAACATTATATTTCTGTGAACAAATGTAAAGTGCGTGCAAATATGTTGTTTTTCCATAAATAGCACTGCAATTTCCTAAAAAATTTTCATCAGCCAGACGCAAAATAGATTAGTTCACTGCCAAGAAATTTAACTAAAATGACAGATCTGTGAATATGATTCAAGGCAAATAAAGTAAGATAGATAAAATAATACTACAAAGGATAGCTTCGGTAATAACAACATTGCAATATAAATGGAAGGAAATAGGCAGAGACAGGAAGAAAAGCTCTAGAAACTTAAGTGAGTCATTTCTAAAAAGAATGCTCCACATGAAAAAAATAAAAATAAAAAATGAAGAAAAATGAAACAAGTAAGTGAATCTGTAGATACAGGGAGACCTGAAAATAGCCCTAGGTTATTTAACGGGTATAACATTTCCAAAAGAGGCAGTCATTTTTTTTTTTAATTTTACTTTAAGCTTGGGATACATGTGCTTAAACATGCAGGTTTGTTATACAGGTATACATGTACCATGGTGGTTTGCTGCACCTATCAACCCGTCATCTAGGTTTTAAGCCCCACATGCATTAGGTTTTTGTCCTAATACTCTCTCTCCCTTTGCCCCCACTACCCCTCAACAGGCCCCACTGTGTGATGTTACCCTCCCTGTGTCCATGTGTTCTCATTGTTCAACTCCCACTTATGAGTGAGAACATGTGGTGTTTGGTTTTCTGTTCCTGTGTTAGTTTGCTGAGAATGATGGTTTCCAGCTTCATTCATGTCCATGAAAAGGACATGAACTCATGCTTTTTTATGGCTGCATAGTATTCTGTGGTGTGTATTTGCTACATTTTCTTTATCTAGTCTATCCTGGATGGACATTTGGGTTGGTTCCAAGTCTTTGCTATTGTAAATAGTGCTGCAGTAAACATACATGTGCATGTGTCTTTGTAGTAGAATGATTTATAATCCTATCCTACTGACATTGGATGCAACTGAATAATTTGACATATAGCTCACAGAAATACAAGTTGGGGAATATTTCTGAGTTCATTCAGTTTGATGAAGAGTTCCCAGAAAAGTCATGTATTTGGAACTTGTGTAAATTTTATAAATTTCATAGGAGATTTCTTTTGCCATAATTGTTCTCATTATTTTTCATTATTGTTACTGTACTATTGGCAATCTAGGGAATTGTTCTTTTGTCAGAAATGCAATACAACCTTTTTTTACTTTTCCACTAGGAATTTTGTTTAGCTTAATATATATTGAATGAATTGCAGTATTGCTGATTTATGATAAGTGAATGAGTCACAGATATTCATTCCTTTATATTTGTATAAATATGGGAGTGTTTTTAAAGAAAACATAAAAAAGGCAATTCACAACTACAAATTCTGTGTTTAATAGAGAGTAAATAATTAGCATCACCACTGATGGTCAATAACATGCTATCAAGTATATATGAAGTATTTAGTACTGTCTTAACAGTCATGAGAAATCAGACAATATTTAAATATGGTTCTTCATTGAAGGAAACTTATGATTTACTTAAAAGAAAACATTAGCATATTATTGCACAGTAAATGGCAGGTTAAATCTTATTTGCGTGCCATAGGATATGATGCCATTGAAGTTCAGAGAAGGGATAGCTATGTCGTCTTGAGTAGTTTTGAATATTCATTGGTGGAAATAAAATTTTACTTGGGTCTTAAAAGATGGTTAGGATTAGATAAAGAAGAAAAAGAATGCATTCGCAGAAAAGGCCCAACCTAAAGCAGCACATATGATTTATTCAGGCATCAATAAGAAAACAAAATAATATACCTGGCTGTAAAGCAGTAAACCCCAACCTTTTTGGCACCAGGGTTCAATTTTGTAAAAGAATTTTTCCATGGGTGATAGTGGGGAGGGGGTGGCTGTGATGCTTTTGGGGTAATTCAAGAGCATTATATTTATTGTGTACTTTATTTATATTATTATTTCATTATAATATATAATGAAATAATTATACAACTCACCATAATGTAAAATCAATGGGAACCCTGAGCTTGTTTGCTTGCAACTAGACAGTCCCATCTGTGGGTGATGGGAGACAATGACAGATCATCAGTCATTAGATTCTCATAAGGAACACACAACCTAGATTCCCTGCATGCCTGTGCAGTTCACAATAGGGTTCACACTCCTATGAAAATCTAATGCTGCCGCTGATCTGACAGGAGGTGGAGCTCAGGCAGTAGTGCTAAGGAGCAGCTGTAAATAGAGATGAAGCTGATGAAGCTTTGCTTGCTTGCCAGTCACTCACTTCCTGCTGTGCAGCTGAGTTCCTAACAGACCATGGAACTGTACCGTTCATGACCTGGACCCCTACTCTAAAGCATGGTGTGCTAAGGAGAAAAGCAGAGATAAATATATATTTACATTTAATCCGCTTTTACAAAAGATAGTTACAAAATTTTAAGCAAAATTGCATATCAATCCATTAGACTTAATTTTTAAAAGGCATAACATAATAGAAGCAATGAAAGTCTGTTTTCTTACATTGTATTTTTCTTCTAGTCATAGAGTGACCTGATTAAGTTTAGAGCAATTGCCTGAGCACAAGAAGGTGACCTGTCCAGTGAATAATTTTTTTTTCTTTTAAATACAGACCTGTGTTGATTAGAAGCTGGATTAAGAGTAAGAAGGAAAAATAGGTATTAACAGATGAGAGGCAGTATAAAGGAAAACAAATAGGGCATGTCTAAAAAAGCTTAATAAGCAAGATAACTGAAGTCATTTACTCTAGAGCCTAGGAATAACATGGTCACAAAGTGAATGTTTTTGTGAGTCATAAATTTAGTAAACATGGTACTGGACACAGAGAACCAGAGGATGTCAGAATAATCATTTTATCACAATTCTTCCTTTATTGACATGGTGACTAAGTTAAATAAGAGTTTAGTAGGTGGAGTCTCTCAGTTGAAGTATAAATTTTAAAAGTATAAATTTATATTTGTTTTACATTTTTAAAGCCACTTATAAAATTGTACATGCTGTACAAATGAAATTTTGTGAACAAAATTCACATTCAAAGCAACACCAAGTAAGGACTCTGTGTTCTCAGCAGAGGTAACAGCTGGTCATAGCAAATGGGCATTCTGATTGAAATATATATTTGCACATACGTATACATATATATTCTGTAGTTCTGGAAGGAGATATGGACATATTTTACAGAAAATGATATTATTTACATATCTCTGAACCTTGTTTTTTTTCACTTTATGTACTTTTGATATCTTTCTGAGGCAGCAAATATAGATGAACTTCACTCTTTTAAAAATTTCATTATGTGGCAGAATGAATTATCAGTCTCCATTCTTCACTTCCCTATGATAGTACTTTCAGTCCACATCCTTGCTATGGCCACAGGGTGAATGAAGTGTATTGTCCTCTCTCTTAATTATGAATTTGACCAGGTGATTTGCTTATTCAATGGGATGCTAGTGAATATGATTAAAGCAGGTGGTAAGACTCATTCTCATATGTTATTGCCTTTGTGATGACAAGAGCAAACTCCAGAGAGCCACTACCTCTTCTTCCTGATCTCAGTGTGACACACCTATGTGGTAAACCCACAGCTGAAGTGAATCCCATAAAAAACTCATAAATCCTCATCATGAAACAGATCTCCTATCACAGATAAACTAAGACCTGTGAGGGAGAAAGGAATGCTTGCTTTTGTGTTTCACATAGACATTGTGTTTGCTCTCATGCAACAATAGCTGAAAAATACATATTCCTTAATATATGTGTAGTATATTTATTCATTCATTCTATTGTTAGGCATATGTGTTGTTTACAATTACAAACAATACTGCAATTAATATTCTTGTACTTATGTAATTGTGTTCATGTGGACTGGTATCAGTTAAGGGATTTTATTTTCAATCAATAGAGACTACTGTGGCTATCATAAGTAAAAAATAAGTTATTAGAAGTATATTGAAGGCTCATAAAGTCAATGAGATGCTTGGAGGAAAAGCAGCAATCAAGGTGGTTCCAGATCAGGAATTAGAACAACAATATATTGTAAAGAAAACTTTTGACAAAACTAAATACATCTCCAATACTTTTTTTTTTGTCCTATGTTAAAGCTTCATTCCTTGTATGAGGCCATCGGATTGGCTTAGCTTGCATTGAGATTGTATCAAAGTTGAAGACATCATAGTACTGTTGGGGGAATTGAAAAATGGTCAGCCACTTTCTTCTCCTTCCACCCTCTCAAAAAGGCAAAGGGTCACTATGATAACTTTGTGCTGTGTCTGTTTAGCTAATCTACAATTAAGTTTCTTAGATTTCTCTTTCTTGTGTAAGTTTAGGAAGGCAAAAATTAAGCAAGAAGCCTGTATTAGTTCATTCTTATGCTGCTAATAAAGACTTACCTGAGACTGAGTAATTTATAAAGAAAAGAAGTTTAATGGACTCACAGTTCAGCATTGCTTGGGAGGCCTCAGGAAACTTACAATCATGGTGAAGGGGGAAGCAAACATGTCCTTCTTCACATGGCAGCAGGAAGGAGAAGTGCAGAGCAAAAGGGGGAAAAAGCCCCTTATAAAGCCATTAGATCTCATGAGAACTCACTTACTATCAAGAGAACAGCAGCATGGGGTAACAACTACCATGATTCAATTACCTCCCATTGGATCCCTCCCACGACATGTGAGGATTATGAGAACTACAATTCAAGATGTGATTTGGGTGGGGACACAGCCAAGCCATAGCAGAGCCATATGTCCTGTGTTAGCAGGTGCAGGATGCCAAGCACTATGGTATTTTGCTCGCATTATTGTTGATCTGCTAGCTTTCCAAATGGGTCTTGGAAAGAATCTAGACTAACAGATATCACCAGATCTCTTATTTTCATTTCATTTGCTAAGTGTGGCAAATGCTCTGTGTCAAAGAGTATCAATTTCTTCTGCAGGTCAACCGTGGCATGGAGTCTGGAGGTAAAAGAAGGTTATAGATTTCACAGAGTAATCCTAGGTTCCTGTTGTCTTCATGCATTCCAGTTTGTCCTAGAGTTCCAGTTGATCTCATAGGCTTTTGCTTTTCTCCAACCATCCTTCTAATTTGTGGTGTGAATGATTTGTAGTGACTTCAAACTCAATATTAAATGTGGAGCCAAGAGCCCATAGACTGCTCCATTAGCTCCCACAATTGCAAAAAATTCTGAGTCCCATACTAATTTCCTCATTCTATGTAACCCACAGCAGTTCTGCTTCCCTGATTGAATCCTTACTGATACAGCCAAACCTGAAATGAAAGCCTCGAGAATATTCATAGAAATGTAATTGATAAGTAAAAAGCTTAGTTTTTACTTAGACAGACACTGCCAAAATATTTTCCCAAGATGCTGCACCAAAATACAAACACTAAACATTTGTGAATAGAATTTGGAAAAAATGGTAGAACCTCATTCATTACAGTTATTGTGCACCAATAAGAAGAAAAAGTAATATTTGCTAGTTAGTTTTCCAGTTCTCCTTAATTCCTGTTAATCAGTTCTGAGTCTCCAACTTTCTCATTATTTTGTGAGCTACTTTGTAGGATGATAACAAAGTCCTTTATACTTAATCATGCCTGAGTCCATTTCTATTCACTGCATATAAATACAATATATTTTATACAATTTATGTGACCATAGTTATTGCTTTTGTGTTAATATAATATACTTTACACATGATAAATGTTATTGGTTGACTTTTATATACTATGTAAATATTAATACTTTCTATGAGTCTATCCATTTTTTTAACTTTCTTTAACCCATGTAATATGGAAACTTAAAAACATGACAAATTTTTACTACCTTGATTTAGAATTTCTTATTTTTTAATATTTGTTGGGAATATCTTTCTTATTCAAAAAATATTTTCAGCAGCCCAAGTAATATTGTAATATATAATTTAGGTCATTTGTTTCTGTGCTGATTACCTTCAAATTACGCTTTAAAATATCAACAAAGATCCTTGACATTCCCAGGGAAGCTCTGCATGATTTCACCCCTACCTTATTCATCTTATTCTAGGCCCTTCTCAGTCATACACTGACCTTCTCTCTTCTCTTACTTTGATCAATGTTCTAAGTTCTTTCCTTTCTTGTTTTTATTGACATGAAGTGGTTCATAATATTCTTTTGTTATATCTTGGTTACTATGGTATCTAAAATTTCTCCAATTTTTTTCATTCTTAATTTTTTTGGATTTTTTTTTTTTTATTTTGCTAAGCCTTTCTTTGGCATTATAAGATCTTCCTCAAGGACACCTCACTTTCCTTTCAACTGATGGGCTTAGATATGAAAACAAAGATAATAGTTTTCCCTTGTAACAGCTGACACCATTGTTCATTCAGCTCACCCACTGTTGATCATTTTGGTTTTACAAACCTGGATATATTCTCACTGGTTGCACATACATTTTGCTTCTTGGAAAATTATGTCTTTTGCCAAAGTTGCCCACAGGTTGCGAACACCTGGATGTCATTCCAGCCCTGCTGTTCTATATTCCAAGTATGTCAACCTTACCTCTGATAGTTAAGTACTACTATCTGGCCTCTGCTATTCTAGAATTTTATTATTCCCATTGGCAGAAAGAAAAGCATGTCCTACTATCAAACACGGTCTATGAAAGACAGCCTGACTAATACTCTCAAGAATGCTGGCACTCTCCTCACTAGTGCATATAATCATTTTAGTGGAGACGATGTCTTCTGGGTCATTTGGAAACAGAGTGACCTGATAGATTTCCTGTTCTTATATATTAAACCTATCCTAGGATGCCCACTTACTCCTTTCTTATCACTCTCCCAAGGCAGTTCCAATAACTCTACCTTATTCACTACAGTACCTCATCATCTCTAAGCCTAAAAGAGCCATTGCAACACCATAGTAGGACCAGCTTCAGGTGTTCTGGCAACATGTTAAATTCTGCATCAGAGAGAGTGCCATCTTATCAATAAATTCTCCCCTCAACACCCTATGCTCTACCTCCTTTCATTTAGCACCCTCAAGATTCATGCTGACATATGTTCTCTTGGTTCCTACTGGTAGTTATTAGCCACGCTCAGCAGCTTTTTTCAGTGAATAATGTTTCTTTATATCAGGATCCCACTTAGGCAATGCTGAAAACTAATACTGGTTATTGGTGTGGAAATGATAAGAGAAAGCAGAAGCACTCATGATGCAGGCAAGCATCATCTTCTGAGGCATCCATCTTAAATAAGCCACTGAAGATGGTTGGGAAGGGGATGTGATCCCCTAGCCTAGAGGTTTTACGGGAATCTGGAGAGTTTAAGCTACTCAAGTGAATCTATTTAAATGTCACCAACAAATTCCTCAGGATATCAGTCCTTTACTACTTCACTAGTAGGTTCCTGGCTTTATTATAACCAACTTATTAATTTATGAATGTCTCCTCTATAATTTCATCACTCTCACAATTAAACGTTCAGCTTTATTTTCAGTACTAGTTTGGGCTCCAGCTGCAGAAGATACAGCCTTTTAATTTATTTATTTTTTTAAATTATACTTTAAGTTTTAGGGTACATTTGCATATTGTGCAGGTTAGTTACATATGTATACATGTGCCATGCTGGTGTGCTGCACCCACAAAAGAAACTACCATCAGAGTGAACAGGCAACCTACAAAATTGGAGAAAATTTTCGCAACCTACTCATCTGACAGAGGGCTAATATCCAGAATCTACAATGAACTCAAACAAATTTACAAGAAAAAAACAAACAACCCCATCAAAAAGTGGGCGAAGGACATGAACAGACACTTCTCAAAAGAAGACATTTATGCAGCCAAAAGACACATGAAAAAATGCTCATCGTCACTGGCCATCAGAGAAATGCAAATCAAAACCACAATGAGATACCATCTCACACCAGTTAGAATGGCAATCATTAAAAAGTCAGGAAACAACAGGTGCTGGAGAGGATGTGGAGAAATAGGAACACTTTTACACTGTTGGTGGGACTGTAAACTAGTTCAACCATTGTGGAAGTCAGTGTGGCGATTCCTCAGGGATCTAGAACTGGAAATACCATTTGACCCAGCCATCCCATTACTGGGTATATACCCAAAGGACGATACAGTCTTTTTAAATACGGCCATGGAAGTCTTGGCTTTCACAGCATGTCTTGAGTTAATTGCTGGCTGACACTCAACATTAAACATTATTTTTTATAAAGTCTTTACAAATGAGAACTGGATCCAAAATCATTGTAACCACTATTGGCTGACATATCTTTCAAGTGGTAGGGCTAGTACATGCCAGTGCTTCTTTCACTTACACCTTATCAGAAAGCACCACTGATGAGAGTGTTAGGGTGAGATAGGATGGGTGCAAATTGTATATTATGGAGATTATTCCAAGGAGCTGGATGAAAGCATGGGAAGGTGAGTCCAGGAAGGGATAAAAGCCAACAGGGTTTGCATTCATGAATAGGTTACTGCTGGGTGCAACTGGGTTCATCTTTATAGGAACCTCTAATTGTGTATGTAGAACACACCTCAGATTTCTCCATCAAGGCACAAGAAAGCTGAGATTTTTATTCATCAACTCCTGTCCTCATTATGTGAGAGTTGTCCTTGAGGACATAAACTCACCAGTTCTTCTGGCCTTCTCTGAGCCCCACCTGAGCTAGCTTCTATGGCCTGAGAAAACCTTGAGCCAGAGAAGCACAGGAACCAAAGATAGGAAGGTGTAGGTTTGAATCAGAATGGTCTCCCAAGCCACAGGTGCCATCTGAGACAGAATAAGGAGATATAGTCATGATCAGAGAATAAGATCATAATGCAAGTTAACCTTCAGAAGTTTAATTCATTGTGGCTTTGTGTTCCAGAAAAAGTAATTAAAATCTGGTGCTTTTCCTATAATCAATTCACTTTGAAGTTTTATATGATACTTTATTTGTTTGTGAAGAATTTTAGAGAATACTGCCATACATAATGGGATTTTTTTGTTTGTTTGTGTTTAACCAACTAAACAGTTTTCTTCAATAATGTATTTTATGAGTCTTAGGATTTTGGTGAATATTTAAATGCTTGGCAACATTAATTAAAGTTAGAACATAAATACAGTTCCCAAAGACCACCTAAACAGCTTTACACGTTTGCATCTTTGTTTTAGTTGACATAAATTATTGAATGATTCATTAATTTGAAATTTCCTATATATTTATAATAGTGATATAATTCTGAATCCTAGGGTGTTTTAAGAGTCTTGTTATTATTTTTCATGTTTTAAATCAATTATTTAATGTCCTGTAATAACTTAGTTTGGTTCAAAAATTGCTTTGTTTTTTATTATTTTTTAATACTGTGTTCTTAAACTTTATTTCTTTTCTGAATATTTTGTTAGATTTTTCAGTAGCACACGTATTTTCACAAAATACAATGAGGATTCTAGTTGAGCTAGGTAGAACTTTTTGTCTTATTTGTTATTAAGCATTAAAATTGAAGTTAAACTGAAGATAAAACAGAAAATAATGCAGTGTGCAATGAAGTTATGTGACGAAAGAATTTAAATAAAGAAAAGGCTGAAAAATATTTTAAGCATTAAGAACACTTGGGAAATATTTCAATATATATTTTTCTAAGTAATAACTCTATTGTTTAGGTAAGTATAATTCTGAGAGCGTGTGATAATTAGAGAGTTATTTGAATAACCAAAATTAATGTATTTACAGATTGAGAAATATAACAGATTACAAGTAAAATGTATCACTGGTTTCAACTTTAGAAAATAAATACTGTATGAATATAATGGTTTTATATTGTATAGGAAACTGATGGATCTTGCTCATAAACCATTGGTGTGGTGTATTATTACATATATGGATTATATTAAGCAAGGAGTTGAATTATATTCACATTTCTCTAATTGTGTTTTCCAAATAAAAGCCCACTGGGTAAATGAGTATGGGATTCACCACCTGCAATGCATTGAAAATTGCTATCAAGCAAGTAGAAGGGTTATTATTTAAAAATCCAATCCTAAATTTACTTTAGTACTGTAGAGCCAGATACTTTCTCAGCATTTTCTCCTCTTTCTACTCACTTTGAACTTTTATCTGTATATTAATTTTATTTTTAATTATATAAGTAGCATTCACTTAATCAAAATAAACAAGTTCTTAAAAAAATTTGGTGAAGACGGCAGCTTAAATTCTTCCATATGTTAACAAAAAGGCTTATTATATACCTCTCTCTCATTGATTTGTGTGTTTTACAATTAGTATTATTAATTAGTCCTTAAACATCAGATATTTCATGATTCTGATTTCATTATTCACAATAGTTATGTTTTATTAATTTGTGGCAAGCAATGTATAAGTGAATACTCAATTTTATGGACTGAATGTTTGTGTCCTCCACAAATTCATATGCTGAATCCTTAACCCCCAGTATGGCTGTATTTTGTGATGGGGTATCCAAAGAAGTAATTAATATTAAATGAGGTTATAGAGATGAGGTCGTGATCCAGTAGGATTCGTGCACTTATAAGAGGTGACGCCAGAGAATATCACCTGCCCACCACCCCTCGTGCACTCTAAGGAAAGGCCATGTGAGGACATAGTGAGAAGGTGGCTGTCAGCAAGCCAGGAAGGGCACCTTCACTAGAAAATGACTAACATGGAACCTTGGTCTTGAAGCCTTTAGAACTGTGAGAAATTAAATTTCTGTTGTTTAAGCCACCAAGCCTATATTTTGTTACGGAAGCCCTAGCCACCCAACACACTGAACCATCACTCCTAGGTGAAATTCAGGTTTAGGTTTCTATCCCCTTTAGGTAACAACATATTCATCAACCAATCAATTACTTTTTCTTATATGTGTTTCTTTTTAAATACACCTTATTTAATATATAGTGTTTTTCTCTAAGGCAGTTCTCAAAGGCAGTTCACAGCCTTCTTGCTCTTAAGAACATTAAAAACATTAGAGTTACCACTATGCTTGGGGCCATTTCAAACAGCAAAATCACCAATAAGAAGCACAGAAATGCAAAAATTGTGGCACTAAGACAATCTGTAAAAAGGACACTTGTTTATGGTATGAAAACTGAAACAAGAAGAAATGTTAGCAAATATTAGATCCATGAATAATGAGAACTGACAGTATTTTCATCACTTTTCATTTAATAGACAAGAAAATAAGATGGTATAGAAATTAAAACACTTTGTATAGAGATTTCAAAAGGAGTGACAATGATTTGTTTTTTTCCATTGGTATGTCATAAAGCGTTATTTTGTTATTTTGTTATTAATTCCCTAGGTTTATAGTAGTTTGAATCTTGCATGTATATATATATATATATATACATGCAAGATTGCGTGTATATATATATATATACACACACATCTATATATACATATATATATATCACACAATCAAATGTTAGAAGGAAAAATATTTCTTTTTATTTTTTAACTTTGACCATCTAAAAATACAAAATTTTAGCTAGAGAGGAGGAATAAATTCTAGTGTTCTATGTCATTGTAAGACAGCTATAGTTAACAATAATATGTTATATAGTTCCAAATAGTTCAAAGGAGGATATTGAACAGTCCCAACGTGAAGAAATAATAAATGTTTGAGATTCGGATTACCCTGATCTGATTGCTATATACATCAAAACATCACTATGCATCCCATAAATATGTACAACTATTATTTGTCAATTAAAAATAAAATATGATAAATTATCAGGTGTACAAATTTTTCTATATTGTCGGATAGAGAAAATAATAAAGCACAAACAAAACTTTTTGTAAGGATTTATTTTTCTAAAAGTATAAATGCTTTTATACAAAAAGCGGTATTTTTTCTTTCCAGATTATTGTTATTTGCCAAATTTTGGGCCAAATATGAAATTTGATTTTCACTCATAATTTCCACACTAGTAAAGAAGAAAATGAAACATATTTCTGCTTTAATCGATGCTCATATATTCAAAAAATAATTGTGGCGTGAATACAAGTTTTCTTTCTTTTCATTCCTATTTTACAAGGCTATGAGAGATAGAAAATGTTACCACCAATCCTGTCTGCATTAAGCAATAATTAATACATATTTACAGTGTAGTTAATTTTAATTTAAAATAATAACATTAATTATTGTGATTCATCTATACTGTAGGAGAAAAGGCATTCAGTTTTACATTATTGGTTGGTTTTTCAAAATTATATTCTGTACATAGAAGACTGTGTATCTGTGTGTGTGTGTCTGTCTGTCTGTCTGTCTATGTCTGTGTGGGAGGGGAAAGAGAGCAAACGAGAGAGAGAGAGAGAGAGAGAGAGAGAGAGAGAGAGAGAGAGAGAGAGACGCAGTGAAGGACATTGAGAAACATTAAACCCATGCCTGTTTTGCAAGCTTTCTGGTGGTCAAACTGTGTTGGTTTTTGGATACGGATATATGATGTTGTATACATTGCTATGCCAGGCTAATTGTTGGGGTTTTATTATAGGCATATTATGGGACTTTAAGTACCTAAGATTGTACCAAAACAGTTTGTGTTTGAGGGTTATTCATTCAGAAAAAGAGTGCTACAGCCCCAACACTCTAAAAGTTGAGAAAGGAACTAACATTTAGCAGTAATCTGCAAGTTGGCTCTGTTAATCTCACAAAATTACAGAAAAATACATAAAACAGTAGGATATAGTCAGAGTCAGACCCCAAACAGAAATCTACGAGTGTTAAAAGGCTGAAAATCTGTAGCAACAGATGTATTTATATATTTGTCCTGTATTTTATTTCACCACATATGGTTCCACATTACCACTGAACATGATTATAGGACTTCTGCTCATGTTGGTACGGTTAAGGCAGTAATGCCATTTTTAAACATTTTTCCATCCAGGTGTTCCAATTATATTTAACTTTACATATTTTTCTATGACTTTTATTTTATCATAAAGTTAGGTCACTGGAGGCATAAAATATCACAGTGGAAGATTTTCTTTTCATATCTTTTAATAGACTCTGCATCAAAGCATTTAAGAAATTGTGTGCATTTCTATATTCTATCAGTTTTATTGAAAGGTTTTCAGAAAAAGCAAAACGTTACCTACATACTCACAGTTAGCAACATCCCCTAGGGCTTTTGACTCCTGCAAATCCCAGTTTAATCTTGCCCTTGGCCTCCATCTCTAACTTGCAGAGAATGAGAATCTGGAAAAAGATAAGAACTGAGAGTCACTAACCAATGGGTTGGCTTCAACCCATTGTTGACAGTTGTCACATTTACAGGCTGTTCGAAAGTCTTCTATCTGTTTGAATAGAATGGTAGTAAAGAGTTGAAAATTTGATGTAATTTATCTTTTATCGCTGTACAATGATATAATTGTACAAAAAAGGCATTAGATTTCTGGAAGTGTTCAATTTTATTTGATAGATTTTATTTGAAAAACTTCTTGGAGGTTGTTTTAACCTTGATTGTTTTTAACTGGAAATCATCATACTATGTTCTCTTGTAATAGATTAGAACCATTGGAGAGATCAACCTTGGAAATGAACTCTTTGTAAACATACTCTTCCATCAATAAATTAATAGGTTGCTGCGGAACGTGGGCAGAGGAAAACAGTATTTCTGGTCCCTTTCTCCACCCTCATAGTGAAATAAAGGAACTGAAACCTTTGTAGTCCTTGTCATATATGACTTATACTGGCCATTTTAATAAAATCATTTCATCTGGCTGAAGACAAAGACTTGAGTCATACATCTGATGCTCTAAGATAAACTGGTGTGGATTGCTAAATCCTAGTAAGCAGCTTACACCTTCATTCTTGAGACTGCTTCCTCCTTTATCCTGTCATCTCCTCCACATGATCTAAAAACACGCTCCAAGAAAATCCACTTAAAATTGACCAAATTCTTTCAAACTTCTCTACAGAGACATTGTAAAATTAGCGCTAATAAATAGGTAGAATTAGAGCTATAAGGGATCCTAGATATTACTGTGGCTGAAACACTGTATTTCATAAATGTGCAACTAATTTTAAAAGGACAGTTGGAAATTTAGTCATATGTTCCTAAATTACTCTGAATTAAAGAGGGTAATATGAAATTATTAATTGCAAAAACAAAATGAAACGAAAATGTTATATCCAAGGGGTTTTAGAAAAGTGCTTATGAAATTAAAAAAGAAGTTAAGGGAGCCAAGCATTCCAATTGAGAGGGATATATAATTTAATGAGTTTTTATTATAAAAATAATCATATGAGAAATAACCTTTCTGCTACTATTATGCAAAGAAGCAATGAGGAGGGTAGGGAGAGAAGAGTAGATAAAAAATTAGAAACAGGAAAAAAATTAATGACCATGGGTAGACATAGAGGGTTTTAAAAAATCTAAGAAAATATTATATATAACTAATATCCTATTTAGAGCTATGTAATGCATGAAATACTATTGGATAGAAGTTATTAATTATAATAATGATCACCCAGACCTTGCTCCTGATTTTAAATGAAATAGTCTTACCATTTTACCATAATGAGGAATTTTATGGATATTCTTCATCAAGGTTAAAAAAAACTCCTTCATTTTCTAGTTGCTAAGAATAATTGTTAAATTTTATCCATTACTTTTCTGTATCTTTTGATATAATTAAGTAATCCTTGTCTTATTCAGTTAAGATAATGAATTAAACTTACTGGTTTGCTAAGATTAAAATCAACATTTCATTTTCAAAATAAATTCCATGTGTTTAAGGAATCTTACCTTTCTATACATGTCAGAATTCGGTTTCCTGAGATTTGTTCAGATTTTTTTCATTTATGTTTATGAGTGATGTTATTCCATAATTATTATTTCTCTTCCTGCCCTTGTGATCAGTACTTAAAGTGATACTGATCTTATACAATAAGTTGAAGTGTAGGTCTTCTTTTTATATGTGTTGAAACAGTTTGTGTTTGAAAATATGCATCTTTTAATTCTTGGTAAAACTGATTAAACCACTTGGACCTGGGCATTTTTGGAGGTGGGAGATTTAAAACTGTTCTTCAATATGTTTGAGAATTATTCAAGTATTGCATTTCTTTTGGAATAAATTTAATAAGCTATATTTTTCTGTGAGTCCAGCTATTTTTTTAAGTTTTCAAATACATTGTAGCACAATATTCTTTATAATAAGCCCCTATCTGTAGTGTCTATGGCATATACAACCAAGTCTATTTAATACCTATTATTGACTAGTTGCAACTTTGCTTTTTTAATCATTACTCTTTACATAATTTTGTCAATTTTATTAATTTAACAAACTCACTTTTGGCATTGTTGATCATCTTGGCAGTATTTTCCTTTTTTTATCACTTTCTTCTATCTTTATTATTTTTTCAATACTTGTTTATTTTGCTGTTTATTTTATATGTTCTTGAAATAGATTTTTAATTTATTTTCAGTATTTTTTCTTTTCAATATAAATCTTTACAAAGGATGTGAATTCTTCATTTAAGTACTGTTTACCTGTATCATCAAAGTTTTGATGTATAATATTGTTTATCATTAGTTGTTAAATAGTTCCTATTTTTTGACATAATGTATTTCTTGTCCCTTAAGTTCTTTGGAATTAAGCAACTTAATAATTGTACAGGGATTTTCTACTTATTTTCTTATAATTTATTTCAAACTTAATACTATCATCATTAGAGAATATGATCTGTAGGATTTTATAAAAATTCGTTGTTCATTGTTTTGTTGTCTAGTGTGATTGCTTTTCACAAATGTTCCATGTGTTCACAGAAGTGTGCACATTCTCAAGTTGTCATGTTCAACATTTTATGTATGTTCATAATACTACCGTCTGTATGTATTCCTACTAGATGCATTTGGCTAATTGTATTTCGCAAATCTTTCAGATTATCTTGTCTACTTGACAATTACAAAATTTTTGGTTTTCTCATTATACTTGTATACATTGTCTTTGGATTTATTTTGGATTTTATATAACAAGATATGAGTGGTATATCATTGAAGTACATTTCTAAAACATTGTTTCTATCATTCAAGCTTTTAAGAATTATTAAATAACAGGGAATTAATTATTATTCTTCATAAAAGTAATATATAATGCAATTGGTCTGTGACTTCAAAACATTTAAGAGAATTATGTATTAAACTTTAACATCGAGTAAACAAATTTTTAAAAAGGATCTAGATTAGAAATCAGGAGATCTCATTTTTTAAATTGATTACTACAATATAGTAATTGCTAATATTTGTATTAGTAAGCTATTGAAGCAATAGTGTTGTATAGTGAACCAGCCCTAAACTCAATGTCATCATTTATTTGTGCTTCGTTGAATTGTGGGCTAGCTGAGATAGGTGGACATAGACTGAGTTTAGCTGAGTTTGGCTCTAAACTTCAGGCTGTTCCAGATCTAGTCCACATGTCTTTCATCTTCCTTGGACCAATGCACTAGTTGTCACAGAGATTCAGGACATAAGCAGAAACATATGATGCCTCTTAAGACACAGGCTTTAAGTTGGCACTTCTGCCGATATACCAACAGCTAAAGTAAGTCACATGTCCGTGCATAGCATAACAAGGAGGGGAAATATATTATGCCTGTAGTTGGAGGAGCTACGTAAGAACGTAGCAAAAGCCTTGGATATAGGAAAGGGTGAAAATTGGGAACAATGCAGCAATGTACCATAATATTCTCATTGAATATCATCAGATCATGACATCTATTGGAACTTAAAATGTGTTTTAGTTTGAGAAAGAAACAATCATTTCTCAAGAAAGAAATAATTATTTACAGGCAATGCTATTAATAATAATAATTATTATTATTATTATCTTTTTTTTTTTTGAGACAAAGTCTCGCTCTGTTGCCAGGTTGGAATGCAGTGGCACAATCTTGGCTCACTGCAATCTCTGCCTCCTGGGTTCAAGCGATTCTCCTGCCTCAGCCTCCTGAGTAGCTGAGATTTCAGGCACCTGCCACCATGCCTGGCTAATTTTTGTATTTTTAGTAGAGATAGGGTTTCACCATGTTGGCCAGGCTGGTCTCGAACTCCTGACCTCAGGTGATCCGCCCGCCTCGGCCTCCCAAAGTGCTGGGATTACAGGAGTAAACCACCACGCCTGGACTATAAATAATTATTTTAAATGTAGCTTCCAAGAGTTATAAACTAGGCTGCATTTATCTGTCCAAAAACAGGATAAGACAATCCAATGACTTTCAAATGTCAAAGCACTTTTAGTCTATTTTTGTAAATGATGAGATGATGACAGTTCCGAAGTTAATTTCTACATTCGAAATACTTTATTTTTAAAAACTTATTAAATCATACATCAATGTAAACTTTTAGGAATTTCTCCATAGTTTTACTTAAACAATATTATAAATCTAAAAATATATGATATAATTCTCTGATTAGAAATAATGTTTTTAAAACTCTTGAAGAGTAAATTAATACTTCAAAGTGCACTGATAAAAGAAGATGATCTATGCTGATGGCTAAGGTCCTAGTGAGCAGAAATATATGATTAGAATAAATTAATTTTGGTGGTACTCTCACATTAGATGCAATGAAGTCCTTTCTCCATCTTTACCTTTTCTTTTCTGTTTTAATCTCTCTCTCCCTTCTTATGCCATCATTAGTCTACCCTTTCTCAGTCTGACTCCATGTTTTTCTTTCCACCACCTGTGTATTTCTCCCCCTTTCTTCTCCTTCCATCTTTTCCCAACAATTCTTCCTTCCTCTGTGTCATTTCTTCCTTCCTTTCTTTCTCACTCCTTGTTGCTTTTCCTTGATTATCGCTGAATGCCTTAATTCTGCGTTATCTTTGCATTTCTGGATATAATGCTCTAGTGAAATCACCTCACTAACTGGTGATGTATATTGCAGGCTGTGAACAAAGCCCAGGCCCTAGTAGATGCTGTCAGGGTACATGAGAGAGCCCAGGGTGCTTGACAGTGCTTGATTACACTTTTCTGACCTTTCATCAACAATCTTGCTCCTCAAGGACATTCTCCATTTCTCTGCCTTCTATATACTCTGTTTGAGGGATTTTCTCTCTCCTTTTTCACTTGCTTTGCACTGAAGGTATGGAGAAATAGGAGAAAAATACATTCTTAATTGAGGAATGATGACTCTAGACCTGTGGTAATCCATGCCTTATTCCAGTGATGGCTATGTTGCAGTCCTGATGTTAAGACACCAGCTGCTACATTTTTTTTATGCCCTGTTATCACTTTGTCCCCCTACAGGACATTGATTAGGCACTGATCCATTCTGGACATTTTGGGAATGGAGAAAAGGGCATGATTCCAAGGCTCTGCCCATCTGACCATGGTAGAAAGCATTCCTCCATCCGAAGCTACTGTTTCCTCTCTTTACCTAATTAACTTGTAGTCATGCTCTGTCCATAGGGCATGCTCAGTTTTTTTCCCTCCACACAAACACATGGTATATTTGTGTAAGGAGGGTAATTTATTTCATGTAAATATTTTATATATGTGTGTATACTTTATTTCTAATTAAGGAATTAGAAATAGCAATTAGGAATTGACGTGAGAAATCATAAGAGACTGAAATAAGCAATATCCCCAAAGATTTTATTCCCAGTAGCATCTTCTAAAAATCTCTTCAACAAAATAACAGACATGTATTTGTTATTAAAAGTATGCAAGATTAATGATAACATTTTAAAACATTTTTTCTATGACTTTACATATTTTAATAATTGATTAAACTATTAATGTACTTAAATATTATGAAATCAACCTTTATGAAAAGATAAAGGAAAATATATTTAAGATGTATATTGACAAAAAAATGGATGAAACTCCTCTAAGGTTCAAATATTTCAACAGTAGTGTTGATGACTTTTCTTTTAATGACACTAAGTGCTGCCATAATATGTAAGCATCGTGTACGTGAGTCATAAAAATTAAACAGTTTTGTTGTCCCTCTCTATGCATTACTCAGCATCAGAAATAACCCTTTCTGAAGTACACGTACTATAAGTTTAATTCCTTACTTTAGGTAGATACTTAACAAATCCACTTAAAAAAAAACCTTGTTGTTTCATGGCCTTTAGGTCCTTATGAGAGCTCAAAATTTTACAAGCTGCTTTTTAAATTTTTTTGGTAACAGAGAATAAATTCCCAATGGAATAACTAATGGGTGGGCTGAAACCCACAAACACTACACTTAAAGAATGAAAATATGATCAGTGCAGCGCTGAATAATAAAAGCATGAAAAGTGGTTCTGTCGGTCTAGCTGTCCCTAGAGTTTGTTTGTTTGTTTTTAACCAGCTAATGACAAATTTTTCAGTCAGCAGTTTATTATTTTGGGAAACATAACACTGGGCAAAACGATGGTTTTCTAATAAATCTTAAAATTTAAATTACAGCTGAATATTGATATGGGTGTATTCCTAGTCATTGCTTGCAGTATTCTGCACAATATATCCCTCACAAATCAGATATTTTCTTTGTTAAACCTAGCTTATCATCTTTGGAAATGAAATCTACTACAAATGTTCTCCACATTGAAAGCATTGACCACATATTGTTTGCCTATTGTGTATATTTTCTACACATTTAGTGCTTATATAGTAGTTTGTGGTAGCAATCACAAGCAAGCCAAATAGAAGGAACATTCATTAGCTAAATTAAAAATGCACTTTATAATTCAGATGGTAAACTAAAATGGGAATAAACATAACATGCAGAAAATCAGAAATGTGTTTTAGTAGAAAGTACTTGTTCTTATAAAACACGGTTCTTTGTTGGCAAACATATTGTATTATGATCTGTTTGCTCCCCCACAATTTATATATTGAAATCCTAACCTCTAAGGTGATGGTATTAGGAGGTAGGGTCCTTTTGGAGGTGATTAACCCATGAGGGCTCTGCCTTCATCAGTAGAATTAGTACCCTTATAAAAGAGGACCCAGAGAGCCACCTTGTTCCTTCCACCATGGGAGGATGCAACTAGAAAGTGCCATTTATGAATCAGAAATGAATTCTAGCCAGAAAGTAAATCTTCCTTGATTTTAAACTTCCCAGCTCCAGAACTGTAAGCAATATGTTTCTGTTGTTTGTAAGTCACCTGGTTTGTGATATTTCATTACAGCAACCTAAAAAAAACTAATATATTTGGTCTAAGTGATTTGATGAATAAATGAAATATTGTATTATGAAAGTTAGATTGACCTCAGATCTTACTTCTACTACAGACTCTTAATATTAATTTTGGAAAATAGAAAGATCGACTCTATAAGTAGTAAAGTTTTTCCAGCTCTAAAATTCTATAATATTTAAAAGTCACTACAGGTATTTTTTTTAATTTGTTATTTTTTAAATTCAAATTTATTTTTATTATTTTTTTAAATTTTGGGATGTACATAGTAGGTGTATATATTTATGAAATACATGAGGTATTTTGATAGAAGCATGTAATGTGAAATAAGCATATCATAGAATATGGGGTATCTATCCACTCAAGCATGTATAATTTGAGTTACAATTACAATTTAATTACATTCTTTAGTTATTTTAAAATACACAATTAAGTTATTGTTGACTATAGTCACCCTATTGTGCTATCATATAGTAGTTCTTATTCATTCTTTCTATTTTTTTTGGTATCCATTAGTTATCCCTAATTTGTGCTCAAAATTCTGCCTTTGATTAATATTTCACTGAAATTTTAATCTTTTACAATAAAATTATATGTGATTTTAATTTTATTTAATTCTTCTCAAGGGCCAGACATTAATTACTATATACTTCTGTTCTCTTTGTTCTAATAATTTTAAAGTTGCATTTGCATACTATTTTCTGTTTTTTTTTCTTATTCTCATATAAGTCAGCATTTCTATTTGACTGCTGAAAAATAAATTTTAAAATGTTTCACCATCTACCATCTCCTTTCTATCATTCATGTTATTATTATCTAATGTTTAAGCTTTATCTTGTACTTAATCTGCCTAAATTAGTCCCTGCTAATTTAGATTTGCCCACTTGTTTGTAGCTTTTCTGCTCACTCCAACCAACAGATTCTAATGTGGTCCACATGATTCTTGCTTCCTGGTATTCAAGCCTTTGAGTAATTCTCTCCCCTCTGGAGTTAATGGGACCTGTAATTTGCTTCCAACCCATAGAATATGTCAAAGGTAATGAGCTATATAGGATTATTTTGTATGTGATTATGTTACATAAAACTGTAATGCCCATCATTCAAGGATATACTGTCTGTTGCTGGCTTTCAGGAAGCCATTTTTCCCACCTCAAGCACTTATTTCATTTCTATTCCTATACTTTGCCTTTTCTAATATATAATAAAATGGAATCATCCACTATTTGTTTAGCTGTTTTCTTTCATTTAGCATAAAGCTTTTGAAATTTATTCATAGTGTTGCAAGCCTCAGTACTTCTATATATTTATTTATTTATTTAAATTTATGACTTGCATTCCAGTGTATGGGTAAACCACTGTAAGTTTATCCATTCCCTGGTTGCTGAACATTTTGAATTGTTTAGAGCTGTTGGTAAATATGACTAAATCTTCATAAGCCACACTTTGTGTGGAAATATATTTTAATATTCCTTGGGTAAATACCAAGAAGTGGGTTTACTTGGTTTCATAGAATCATAAGTCTATATTTAACTAGATACTTCCAAAACATTTTTCAGTGTCTGTGCTAATTTGCACTCTTACTACCATTATATGAGAACTCTATTTGCTGTGAATCCTCTCTAGAGCTTGGTAACATCAAGAATTGTGTGTGTGTGTGTGTGTATGTCTGTGTGTGTGCATGTGTGTGTGTTACCATTCTAGTAGGCGTGGAGTGCGAACTGACTGCAATTTCAATTTGCTTTCTCCTAAAGATTAATGCTTTTTGAGAATCTTCTCATAGTCTTATTTGCTAACAATATAGTTTCTTTGATAAAGTGTTCAAATCTTTTGGCAATTTATTAATTGGAATGTTTGTTTTTTATTGTTGAATTTTAAGAGTAGTTTATAATTTCTGAATGAAAGTCTTTATCATGCAAGTGTTATTCAAATATTGCTTCCAAGTCTATAATTCGTCTTTTTATTTTCTTAGTAGTGTCTTTTGAAGAGCAGCCTTTAGGTTTTGATAAAGTTTATTTCATTTTTTTCTTTTATGTTTGTGCTTTTTACCTTATCTAAGAAATTTATGCTTGACTGTAGGTTACAAGGATTTTATCCTATGTTTTCTTCTAGTAGCTTTGTAGAAGTGGCTCAGAAATGTAGGTTATGTTCCATTTCTGGTTAATTTCTGTCTATGATGTGAAGTAAGGGATTCAATTTTTGCATATGGTTGTTTAATTGTTATAGCACCACTGGGTTCTCTTTTCTCTATTGAATTACCTTTGCACCTATATAAAAAATAAATTTGGCCAGGTGCGGTGGCTCATGCCTATAATCCTAGCACTTTGGGAGGCCGAGATGGGTGCATCATGCGGTCAGGAGTCGGAGACCAGCCTGGATAACATGGTGAAATCCATCTCTACTGAAAACACAAAAATTAGCCGGGCATGGTGGTGCATGCCTATAATCCCAGCTACTCGGGAGGCTGAGGCAGGAGAATTGCTTGAATCCAGGAGGCAGAGGTTGCAGTGAGCCAAGATGTGCCACTGCACTCCAGCCTGGGCAACAGAGCAAGACTCCATCTTAAAAAAAAAATAAAATAAATAAAAAAATAATTTTCTACATATATATTTGCTTGTCTATTTCTGGATTCTCCATTTTGCAGTGTTTACCTATGTATCTATTCTGATTTTAATTTCAGACTGTGTTGATTGCTATAACTTTATAGTAAGCCTTAAAATCAGGTAGTGCAAATTCACTAAACGTATTATTTCTTAAAGTTAATTTGTTTATTCTAGGTCTTTCACTTTTCCATATGGAACTTAAAAAATCAACATCTCAATTTCTAAATAGAAGTTTGTAGGATTTTGATTAGGTTTTATTGAATGTATATATTACTTTGGGGAGAATTAGAAAATTTTAACAATATTATCTTCTAGTTAATGACCATTGTATATCCTCATATATTTAGGTTTCTGTAATATTACCAATCATTTATAGTAATTAACATATGAAAATTGCACATATATCGTAAGTATATTTTTATATACTTGGTATATGTTTTTATATCCTATGTATTTTTTATATATACTTATATAATTTATATTAAATTATAGGTGCTGTTTTTCACTTAAGTTTGCCATTATTTGTTGCTAGGGTCATTCATTTTCTAGTTTCCTTGCTTTTAGGGATTCCCCATTAATTTCCAGCAGCTATGCCATTTTTCAACTCTATACCAAGATACTTCAAGCCTATCAGCTTCAGCTGTGCATAGTTAAATAATGCACTCAGTTCAGAAAAATATTAAATTGATGAATCTGGCCCCCCGTCTCTAAATATCAAGAGTAGATTTATCTTTGCCTCGTACTGCTTTTTCTTTTTTTCTAATTCTTTTTGTTAAACCTCCTTATGTCTTCACACATGCATTGTTTAGCTAACAGTTAAGGACTTGGAAAGCTTTTGCTTATAATTTGGATTTAACTATTCTGCAGGTTTCTCACTACTAGAATATGTGTTTTAAGTTTCCAATTGTATTCTCAGTCTCGAGCTCTGATCTCTGGCCCCTGAAGTCCCCCAGGTATGTGTTTTCCCCATCACTGTATTTTCCGTTGACAATTCCGAAAGCCTGTATCTGTGAAGGCAGGATAGTACCCTTAGCAAATAAGCCACATGTTTGCAATTCATACCAATTGAATGCAATTGAAATGATTTAATTTTTTTACTCTGTCTAGTTTTTATAATTATTATATGCAGTGCCATTGTATTATTGCTTTATTATTTTGCTCTTCTAAGTTTGACTTCTGAACTATTCTTGCAACTTTTCTGAAGATCTGAAATCATGTAATTATAAAAGGTTAAAATTTGTCAGTCAGCCCAATCAGTAACTAGATTTTGTTGGAAGATAAGTTTTGGAAGATTATAAAATAACAATTATCTTTTTCAAATATAACTTTTAGGTGAAAAGGCTTGTGAGAAATATTCCTTCGATTCAAAGTTTCACATGCTCAACTAAAATTAAGTAAACAAAATTCAATGAAAACTTTTGTTAAATGTGCTTGGGGTTGGATTGAAATATTTGAATTGAGCAGGTAGACACAGCTGGAGAAAATCCTATAATCAAAAACATTGGTGTATCTTTCACATTTTATACCTCCAAATTAGCCCCTTAGTCCTGCTAAGTAGGCCAATGAGCTTCCCTAGCAAGCCTGCTTTTCTACTCTCCAGGATAAGTGTTCTGTCTCTTCCAACCTCACAACCAACACCTTGTTCCCACTCCTCCCCTCACTTGATGTTCTCACTTCATATTCCTTAGTGAAATTCTAAAGAAAAATCAGACCTGTGATTTCTTATCAACCCATCATCACTAAATAGCCAACTCATTTATTTTACTACTTCTTTTCTGCTACAAACACAGAAGAATCTCTCTTCTTAGAAAAGGCACTCAACATTTGCAACAGATCTCATCCTCTCTCATCTTCCAAGATGATTAGTTCTCTCCCTTCAAATCCTAATCTATCACTCTGTCTCTCCGTTGAATCCTATTTATAAGCATGCACAAATACTTAGGGTTTATTTGTGGAGGCCTGGACATTTACCCAAACTGGTAGTGATAGTTTGATATAATTACACAATTTTTAGGTGATCAATATAAGCAAATGTTCTGTGAATGGTCAACTCTAGAATATAGAGAAAATGGAAAAGTCAACAGATAGCAGGGCAGTAGTAAAGAATAAGTGTTTATCTTCTCAGATATTTTGTCTTTTTAAGTTGCCACCCTACACTTTCATCTTTTGTTTCACTGTAAGGTTTATAATATTTATTTTCTTAATAACCTATCTCAAAATGTGCATTGTTTACTTATTTATTGTTTGTTTGTTTTCTGCACCTTCTCAGACTTGGTAGGGAAGGAATTAGCTCTTTCTCATCATATCCTCATTATGTATAACAGTGCCTGGAATAAATATATATACACTGTACTAAATGACCAAATGCATCACTCTGAAACTCCTTTAAGAAACCTCCTAATTTATTTGTAAAAAAAACATTCAGGTCATAAATAAATCAGAAAAAGTTATATCAAGTATTTTGAATCACTAGTACATTGTCAAATTGTTTCACATGCTTAGAATAAATTCACACTAATTTTAAAAAGTTAATATTATTTATATTTCATTTATTTGTCAATTCAAGGCAGAGGATGGTAGTTGTCAGATGAGGGTGAATTTGAAAATATGGAGCTTAACTGATGGATTGACAGAAAATGCCCTCAATCAGGAGTCATTTCTTTACAGAGAACTTTAGCAGCAGTGACAGTGGATGCACTCCTGACAGTGGACATACACTCCCCAAAGAAGCCTATATTTTCATTAAATGTAGTATGGGCTTTTAAGAAATCTTTACCTCCTTTATACTGATTATTGTGTGTACTTGTTTCCCTTGAACTATGAATCTGAAGATTCTTATTATAAAAAAAATTGTGTTTAGCAAGGGTGGCTAGAGTTATGTAAAGAGACTTTCATTTTGGCTTTTTTATTCATTCTCTATTTCCATTAAGTAGAGGACACTTGGAGCCAATTTTAATGAAAGAACTGAATGTCAACACATGCTCATCATAATCTTCTTATGGGAAGTTTTATAGAATGAATAAGTAGGATCTTAGAACTCAAAGTGACCTGAGCTCATCTACTCTAGTTTTTACTCAATGCAGAGATTTCCTCTTTAATATTTGATAGATGATTT
The DNA here is from genome assembly GCF_000001405.40 of Homo sapiens. Classification (NCBI taxonomy): domain Eukaryota; kingdom Metazoa; phylum Chordata; class Mammalia; order Primates; family Hominidae; genus Homo; species Homo sapiens. Next base: position 194,674,622 of record NC_000002.12, on the reverse strand, counting down.
GAGCCTTCGCCTAGCCCATTTAATATTTTGTGGCACAATTTCCTCCATTTAAATCAGCTTTAGTTGTAGAAAAGCCCCATCTTATGTTCAGCTAGAATCTGCTTTCCTGAACTAACCAACTATGTGTCCTGTGGCACTGCACAGAACAACTCCAGTAATCGTTCTGCATGATGACCTTTCAAATATTTGAAAACAGCTATCAAATCCCCATTAGGCTTCTTTTCAACCTCCTGAAACTTTCTAATCTTTCATTGTTTGCCAACCTTTCTTCTTCTTTCTCACTCTCTTCTGCATGGGCTTCAGTTTGCCCAAATGAAATGCCCAGAACTGAACTCAGTACTCCAGCTAGAGTCAGATCAATGCAAAACTGACTTGACAAAAATCTCACTTCCTTCTTAGACCTGGGCAGACTGCTCAGCAAAGGAGACTAACAAAACAAAAGCATCTATAACAGAAAGCTTATCTCAAACCAACTTTGTAGCTTGCCTGAGTTGTAAACCCCTGCTGTTTGCAACATGTTGAAACATTTGGTTTTGACTATAGATTATCAATCTTATTTCGTATATCTTTGACAATCCAACTTAAATTGTACCTACTCCAAAAAAGGAGTCTATTATTCTTCACCTTTCTCTTCAAAGTTCAACAAAATTTTATTTAAGTTTCTTCAACTTGGTTAACTTGGTTTTGCCCATATGTTATTAACCATATATTTTCTTATTTATTTGAGTTTCTTCAACTTAAATTGTACCTACTCCAAAAAGGAGACTGTTAATCTCCATCCTTCTCTTCATAATTCAAAAAAACAAATAAATAATTATATTTAGCTCTTCACTTGAAAACTTTCCTTCTTCACCTTTATTTTTTCCTACATTTAAAAAAATTTTTTCACTACATGTGCAATACAGTATAAATTAGTTTCTTTCACTTATTCATTTATTTGTTGAGGGATTTATACTTTATGAAATCATTTATTCATATAATATTTGATGGTGCCTAATGTATTTTAGGCACTATATTAGACACTGAGACATGGAAGTCAGAAAGACAGAAGGTGAAATCAAAGAGAGATTCATCAGATTCTGTTTGTAGGCAGGACAGTTCCAACCAGACTTATCACAGGAGTTCGAGTCCTGCATTATAACAATGTAATGTCCCTGTGTCACAGATTTCTGAACAATGTTCCTGCCACAGATACTTTTAGCAATAAGTTATATTATATGTAAATAAATATATTAAATGATATATTAAATTTGATTCAACAAACCCATTTAAGTGTTATACTTTTATATGAACCAAATCTACCTACTTTAAATTTTGCAGTTTTTAGAAGTGTATTAGTTTAATTAGCTTATTCAATTTTAAATTTAACCATTACTGACGACAGTCAGTGGTTAGTCAGTGGTTAGTCATTATTGATGACAGACAGGCATGGCCACATTTCTGGACCATGCCTATAGCTCTAAATACTTATTTGAATTTGACAAATCTCCAGAATGATGTAGGGACCTGAGGAGAAAGGAAATGTATGTTCTCCTTTACAATTGGGACCCTGGAAGGTGGAAACAAACCACCATGTTGCGGGAAGGGTAGCAGTTTACCGACAGGTTGCTGCCTGGAATGTTTAAGGAAATGCACCCAAGGCAAGTTCAGAGCATCTCACTTAAACCCTCTGGTGGAGCGCAAGCTGTGATAGCAGAGGGTGCGTTGGATGACAGCACAGACCACACAACTGAGTATTATTCACTTCTACCTGATGCTTGCAAATTCCTAAACTGTGTATGCAATTGTGAGGAGAAAGAATGAAAAAGATAGGACAGTCTTCACTGGAAAAAGAAAAAGTAACACATCCAAGTGAATAACATAAGTTGGGATTAAGTTTTAACCATGTGGCAAAATTGGGATTTAAGAAATAAATGTATTCAGTTGTAGGAAAATGAAGTTACACTTGTGAAAACCAGAGTTAATAGCCTCTGAAATTTGTCACAGCAAATAATAGGGTGGTTCTCAAAAGAATTACAGCATGAACATATTGTCCTTGACGAGGGTTTGCTAAAACTCCTTCACTACTTTGTTTCATTTAAGTAGGAACAGACTTTATGTTCTTAAAAAAACCTTTAGAAAATGTCAAATAAAGAGCCCTTCAAAAGCAGATATATTCCTTCTTTACTAAGCCCACAGTCATAAGCAAATGCTGAGAAATCATTAAAAAATATTCTGAACTATTTAAAATGTGGTTCTTTAATTCTTATTGACATTTTACATTTTTAAGGTTAGACTTTTCCAAAGTTAATCAATTGTTTCTCCTGTTTATAACTATGTACATACTTGCATCAATTAATAACCTTTGTTTTGCAATGAAAGATTACACATTCATTTAACTTAGCTTAGTTTCTGTTTGTTTTCAATTAGGAAGGGAAAAATCCTTTCAAGCATGATATCATAGGTTATTGATATTTCTTTTGCTTCGTTTATAGGACCAAACAAAATTTTCATATTTATGGTCATTAATGCTGTTGACAAGAAATTGTATTAAATGAATGGGTTGCAGTAAAAATGAAAATAATTTGGGAGTTAAAAATTAAATTAATTTAGATGATATATTTGTTCTCTAATTGTAACCTCAAATTGGTAGCAGTGACAGTGTGAGATTAAAAATCATAGGAATTTAATTAATTTTTTATTTAATTAATATATTAGGTAAAAATCTCTGTCAAATTCTGTGTCCTCCTCCAAGGCATGTGCGCGCGTGCACACACGCACACACACGACACACACAAACTATTAGTGTCTGTAGACCTACCCAAGACTTTATTTTCTGCCAGATACTGCCATTTAACATATGCAGTAACTTTTTCAAAATAGCAGTGTTTTCAACATATTTATGGCAGGCAGAATAATGTTCCTCCCTGAAGATGTCAGCATCCTAATCCTTGAAACTTATGAATATGTTACCTTACACAGCAAGAGATTGTGCAGATGTGATTAAGGTTAAGGACTTTGAGATGGACAGACTATCCTGGATCCAGCAGGTGGTGCTTAAGAGTGTTGGCCACCAAATAGGCTCTTACTTAGACACATGGCTCTTTTGTATTTTGGTGCATTGGCAGTAGTGCTCTGTGGTGCAAGAGGAGACAGATGACCCCCTGATCAAGTCTGTTCCTGGGCATTGGAGGAGCCTCTTCCAATCCCTGGCACCCCACTCATATTTTCTGTGTTAGATGTGCTGGGCTGTAGGGCTCCCTAGGGAAGGGGCTGTGGTTAGCAGACAGACCGTATCATTCCCAGACTGGCCCTGAAGGGGGAAGCATACTTCAGTTCCTCTGTGGCTCACAAACGTGGGTGTCTCACCCCTCTCAGTGTTCGGAAGGTGGGACCCCTACACTTAGGCATCACCCAAGCCAGCGAGTCCTGCCCATCTAGGAGAAGTGGGTGTGGGTGGAGTCACCTGATCCACCATCTGTGTGCTTCCCAGAGGAACATGGAGCTGTGCCCAACTGCTGAGTTCAGGCAGAGGAGGGTCTGCTGTGTTGGAAGTCCCAGCCAACGTGTACTGCCCAGCTAGGAGCAGCAGGCATGAGTGGAGTCACAGACTCACCTGATCTGTTCACTGGGCAGACCCTGGTGGAATATGGAGCTGCACAGGCCTGAAAAGTTCAGGCAGATGCAGATCCACAGTGCTAGAAGCCCCAGCAGGCATTCCCACCAAGCCCACAGTAATGTTTTTATTTAAATGTTATCCCCAAATGTCATGCCTTCAAATTTACAACAAGAGCACAACAATTTAATAATTAAAAGTAAGTTTTAACCTAATACTCTGCAATACGTGATGTTACATAAAAATAGAAAAAATTGCAAGACCTGGCAACTGCCAATATTTTCCACCTTTATTGAAATTAAAAAAAACACATAATTAGCACTTTATGAACTAAGCTTAAAGAACTAAGTTGGGGTCCTCAGTTGACATTGTTCCAGGAAGTGTATAAACACAACAAGTTTAGAAATTACTTTTTTCATTAAAAACCTGAGTGTGTGTCTAAATTTTTGGTAGGCTGGTGTTAGCATTACTCACTATAACTGTAACATACTCCCAATTCAACCATAACCTTGATATTTGCACTTATTTTTGAAGTTGTTTTAAGGCTTGAAAATTACATAAAACAGATGTGATGTTAAATCAACTTCTAAAAATTATAACTTCTGAACATATGAACATGACACTTACTGTGATGTTGTGTTGAAGCTTCCTCTTACCAGTTATAGCTCTGATGTATAATAATTCAACATTATTTATCATTACTTATATATTCACAATTGCTTACAGCTAACTTTTACTTTTTGCTTGGATTCCATTAGTGTGGCCAAAAGTACATAATTCCTGCTCCTTTTGTTTTCTCCTAGAAAAGTATGCCCAGCCGACAAAGCTTTCTAAAAGCCAGAAATGTCATGGAGCAGTGCTGGCTTCTTTTACTTAAAACTCTTGAAGTATTTGTGAAAGTATTTGCCAAGTGTCTAGTAACTTTTAAGCTTCTTTTCTTATTTTTTTTTTACCTAGTATTGATTGAAATGTATCACAATACAAACCTATGATTCACCTGTGGAACCATTCACACACCTTGCAAATCTTCAGCATGTTTCTGTGACTGAAAGTCTTATTCCACTGAGCATAAAAATAGTACATTTTTAATCTGATATTTGCCAGAATGCTTCTTTTAAGACCCATTGTATTTGTTCTGGTACACAAATGTTAGTGTTTCTCAACCTAATTCCTTTAGGCTCATAATCACCATTAGTTCATAAATCATTATATTTAATAGAAAAATACCTGGTTTAAGTTATTTATTATTTTATTTCATTTCTCTCAGTATTATATATCAAGGAAGTAACTTTTTTATATGTTCAAATCAATCAGGAAAAAATTAGTGAGCTCCTGCTGTGTGATAATTTGATACTTTTCTCTCTTTTGTTACACATTTTGGAAGCATTTCTTTTTTATTTATTTATTTTTCTTCAAATCCCTGTTATCAGCTATATTAAATTTAACTTAATTTTTGAAATATTAACATTTTCCTGTTTTTTATATCTTGCATTGAAATTCTTCTTTTTCCAAAGATTAACGAATTTAAATCTGTATATGATGTCCTTCAGTTAGATACCATTTGGTAATCCCCCTTAAACAGTTTCAGCATTCTAGGATATGAGTAAATGGTACCTCTCTAAGCAGTGACATATGCGATCATCTATACCTCACATTCCAAAAGCTCAAACTTACTGCAAATAAATTCTATAAACTGTCACACTTAAAATGGGTTTATCCTCTCTGACCAATCTGGTAGTATGAGTTTAGAACATAGTGCAAAGATTAGTTTCAGTGAGACACCTGAGACCAATTTGGTACAATGTAAAAGGATTTCAAGTTCCTACTTCTTACTGACTAATAACCACCTCTTCTCTGTAAGTGATCAGCCTGGCCAACATGGTGAAACCCCATCTCTACAAAAAATACAAAACTTTGCCAGGCATAGTGGCACACACCTATAATCCCAGCTACTCGGGAGGCTGAGGCAGAATTGCTTGAACCCAGGATGCAGAGGTTGCAGTGAGTTGAGATCGCATCACTACACCCCAGCATGGGTGACAGAGTGACACTCTGTCTCAAAAAAAAAAAAAAAAAAAAAGACATTAAAACTTAGAATCTTGGTGAAACACTTCGGATTGTTTAAAATCATCTGAAAATTTCAAAATTAACTTGCTTTTTTGGAAAAAGAATGGGTTTTCTTTAAGTATTACGTATTTTATCAGTCATGATTTTTAACCAGTTATTCATTGTTTAGGTTTTAAAAAATATAGTCCTGTCCTTCAGCTTCTCATTTATCATTCTATATAATTTTCTTGAGTGATCATGTCCAGTCCCATGGTTAGGTTGCTTCCTTATGAGGGGCAGTGAGGGAGAATCTGTTTTGTGTCTCTCTCTTAGTTTCTGGTAGCCTAGCTGTTCCTTAGCTTGTAGATGGCACTCTCCTGGGGTCTTTACATGATTTTTCTTTTGTGTATGTCTGTCCCTATATCCAAATCCCCTTTTACATTAGGACACTAGTCACATTGGATTAGGACTCATTCTAATGACCTTATTTTAGCTTAACTATATAAACAGTTTATTTCCAAATAAAGTAACATTATCAGGTACTGAGGATGAGAATTTCAACATATATTTTTGTTCAACTCAACCCATAGCAACCTGTCTCTTCAGATTTTGGGATAGTGGTTAGACTTGTGACCTCAGTTCTCTGATGGTTTTAAAAATAGTCATTAACTTTGAGTTTGTCTATATTTGTCTTGTTTTAAGAATGAAAGGGATGACTTCTGAGTTCTTTATATATTGAAGCTTCCCATGGGCTTCTTAACATTTACATCACGATAATACTCAAGTGTATTTAAGATAGTTCTCTTGATCTTAGGATCAGGTAGCTTCTTACTAAACACCTAAACCTGACTCAAAGATTTCTAAAAAGAACTAATATATTTCAAACAGATGTTGTTATTTTCCCTCAACTCACTTTCAAATCCCCTTTCTTAATTATTTTTCTGGAGTAATTATTCAACAACCAAGATTTCAAGACAGAAACATATAAAACACTTTACACATTTTTCCATCTCTTATTCTTGAGGAGAATGGCTGCAGGTGCAGAAAAAAAGCAATGAACAAATGTATTAAGTAATAGGAATGACTAAAGCAAAGTATACGGCATAGAACAATGAAATGAAAAAGTGAATGACAGATTTGGACATAATGGACATAATTATGTCTTGTACTTAGTGTACTTGGAAAGAATTGTTGGGTGATGAAGATGATTAACTCTTATTGAACCAGGTTACAATGATCTAGTACTGGAGTCAGCAATCCATGGCCCTACAGCAAATCTTTTCCACTGCTTGTTTTTGTAAATGAAATTGTATTTTAACAAATTACACTCATTGATTTATATATTGTCTATGGCTGCTTTCATGCTACAGCAGCAGGCTTGAGTAGTTGCGATATTAAACTGTATGGCCTATAAAGCCTGCAATATTTATTATCTGGCTCTTAATAGAAAATTTTGCGAATCTCAGGATTAATCTGTCATGGAAAATTGTTAGAAGTGTTTTTGTTAGCTTTATTTAGTTTTCTTTTAATAAGAAACATTATTGTAAAGAGGAGATGGGGAAGTATTTACAGGATCATATTTATGGTTTTGACAGAAAATTTTGGTTATCATGAAGAAAAATTCTGAAGTAATGGAAAGAGAAGTGAAAGAAAGATGACAGAGGAAATAATGTAAATATTACTTGCATTAATGAAGTGGATGTAATCTAGAGGACAGAGAGAAATAGATAGAAACCTTTTTTATTTTCTTGGTCTTTACTAAAGGAAATGAAATACATTGTGGCAATTTTTGCTTTTTTTGAGAAAAATGTCACTGTATAACATTATGAAAACAATAGCAACATGCTTTATAAAGTTAAAGTAATTGGGGGGGGGATTTAAAAGTCATTTAGGATTATAAAGATTTGTTACCTGATTCCCATTTTAAAGATACAGGAAGCTAAATATAGATGTAAATGACATAGATATAGATAAATGGAAGAAATGTATGCATAAGCATATCTACATAAGTTCAGTGTAAATTTTGCTGGTGTAAAGTGTGTGTGGCATGCAATTTACAAACAATAAAATATACAATATTCTTTATTATAACTTATATGTATCCTATTTATTCTCACAGAATGATTTATTTGATTTTTACTGAACTCCTTTAATTATAGCCTAACTGTAGTTATAATTGACAAGTGAGTGTACTTCCAACAGTCATATTGGTTGATATTTTCTTTTACATGAATAATAAGATAAAAGTGAGATGATGAGGATGCCTGTCAGAACTCTACCTCTTTTTTAATGATTTCAGCAATTTCTTGTCTGAATCTGATAATAATTCTTGAAATATGGAAGAATATATCCTCATATTTTGAAAAATTCATAATGTAGCAGCAATAAACATGACACATTTTTAAGTTTGAACTGAAATATCGTATTTTTCAAATCTTACTTTGTCTAGGTGATTAGTAAAACAAATCTTACTTTGTCTAGGCAATTAGTAAAACAATAAATCAAACCCTGATTTACAGTGTTTGTTTATTTCTATGGAAATATACTTCCATCGTGGCCAGGTTTTGGCTACCAATATGATGGCATTGAATACTGAGATGGAAGATGTGTGCCATTATATATCATTTAGCATTTTCACTATCAAGATATAAAAGATCTAATAGTGTTAAGACCATAAAAAATAGCAAAATGTAGCAACATGATTAAAAAGTAATGAGTTTTAAGTATTTATCTTTTTATGTAACTTATTTAATTGTAAACTTGTGTAATTTAAGTTTTAATGATTATTTTTAGAAATTGTCTTGCAAATTCTGAAAAGTTTAAAATCAGCTCCTTTAAGGCAGAAAAAGTGGCTTCAGCCTACCCCTGAGCAAAGATAGACACAAATTTAAATTCTTATTTCTCAGATGTTTAGGTTAATATTTTTTAATTCATGTACTAGAATTATTTAAATGATTGAAGCTCTTATTGAAATTTCAGGCCAGGCGTGGTGGCTCACGCTTGTAATCCCAGCACTTTGGAAGGCTGAGGCAGGTGGATAATGAGGTCAGGAGATCAAGACCATCCTGGCTAACATGGTGAAACCCCATCTTTACTAAAAATACAAAAAATTAGCCAGGAGTGGTGGCACGTGCTTGTAGTCCCAGCTACTCGGTAGGCGGAGGCAGGAGAATCACTTGAACCTGGGGTGGTAGGGGAGTTTTCAGTGAGCCGAGATTATACCACTGGACTCCAGCCTGGGCAACAGAGCGAGACTCCATCTAAAAGAAAAAAAAAAAAGAAAATCAGAGTCCTAGGTTGAATTGAATATAGATTGGTATAAACTATTTGACAAGTCCTTTAATTTCCTGGACCTTAGCTGACACTTCTATTTAAAAAAAAAATGGATTAGATAGCTAGATTAGATGATTTTTTTGTTCCTTGCTTTATTTCTTTTTCTTGTTGCTAGCCTTCATTTGGCTGGCTCTACTTAAATAAATTTTGATATAAAATCATGCATTTTGAGGGAACTAGATTTTGTTATGTGTTAACCTTGGACAAAAATATATCTCCCATTTAACACAATCCTGGTTATAGATTTAAAGTTAGTTCTGCTAATGGTTCATATTAGTGATTTAAAAGACCATAAATCCACATTTCATTTCTTTCTTAACCCAGTGGAATATAGGTAGATGTGATCTCTGAATTGGTTCAAATCTTAGCTTTTTCTTATGCTCAATAAAATTTGTGGTGCAAGTCATTCTTTTTACTTCCCTATTGCATGAAATCAAGAAAGAGCAGAATTTACAACTCACTGAACTAAGAGAATAAAATGAATTTCCCTCAAATGATTATTTTTCAACAAAAGTGAACACTTGACTTGTGAGAAGAAAAAGTTCAAAATACTCCAAATTGTATTTTATGTGCCTAAAAAAAAAGATTATTATTATTATTTTTTGTACTGGTATTAAGCTAGGAGAAAAAGTTCTGTGAGTCTTCTATTATAAGCTCTCTCCTCAAATGACTACATGAATATTAATAGATGCTTCATTAGTACTTTCATGTTATGGATTCTAGTGCTTCTTATGTTACTTGACAACATTAGAAATAATCACTACTGCATATTTTTTGTTTAGATAATTACTTTGTAAAACATAGAAGTTAATTTATTTTAGATGTAGACAGTAATGGACATAATAAATATATGACAATTTGTTACAATTTTTTATATGCTTTGAGGAATTGTAACATTTTCTGGTTGAACTTGGCCAACTTCACAAATTAATATCATGATTTAAGTGAATTTGGCATAGTACTCATTATATAAACCAGGAATAAAAATAGAAGCTGTCTTGAAACTAAATTTTAATGACTCTTAAATTATAATTCGTTTAGTCTCATTTTGTTTCATTTCCTTGTTGTTGTCTGGTTTTGTTTGGTTTTCTTCTACAGAGATGCTGAATACACAAATTATACAAAAATATTCTTTTTGTTGTTGTTGTTTTGTTTTTGTTTTTGATTTTTTGAGATGGAGTCTCTGTCAACCAGACTGGCGTGATCTCAGCTCACTGTAACCTTCACCTCCTGAGTTCAAGCAATTCTCCTCCTCAGCCTTACATGCAGCTGGGATTACAGGTGCCCGCCACCACGCCTGGCTAATTTTTGTATTTTTTAGTAGAGACTAGGTTTCGCCATGTTGGCTAGCCTGGTCTCCTGACCTCAGGTAATCCTCCCGCCACGGCCTCCCAAACGGCTGGGATTACAGGGGCGAGCCACCACGCCCCGCCAAAAATATTCTTTATATATCTTTATCAATACCAGCAGAAAGCCTCATTGATTAGTAGCTTCTGACTTTTGTTCTGAGTTTGCTGAAGCTAGATGCCATTCCAGATAAGAACCAAAAATAAATAAATAAATAAATAAAAAGAAAAACAGCAGAAAGTTTTCTTTTAACATTTGAATTTTGTTTATTTTAGGGGGAATTTTTTAATATGGTGACATTAAATTGCCTATGGTTGAGAGAAAAAAATTCAAAGCTTTTAATTATTAAAATCGCTGTCTTCATGGATAATTAAGTTAAACTACCTAATATGAAATCATGAGAATTCAAAGGTGTATATTTAAAAAACAGGGCTTTTAAAAAATGTAGAAAACTTTAGAGCTACTCTGTGTCTGATCTTATGAATGGCTGAAATAATTAACCATATAATTCTATAACCCTAATTAACCATGAGTTATAGAAAATCAATAAAAGCTCACCTTCCCAAACTATTTTATGAATGTAATTGAAGTAATACCATTAAAACTGTATCTGTGATACAGCTATTTATATCTTTAGGAGAAAGTAATTAAGGATGGAAAATAAATCCACTATTAGTCATTATTTTCTCATTGAAGAGTTATTACCTTGAGAAGAAGGGATAAATTATAAGACATTGTGAAAATCATTTAAAAATCAATAAATAAACATTGATTCTGGAAATTAAAGAAAACCATAAGCTAATTTAGACAAAACGTTTGTCTTCTACTCACTGCACACATATTCATCGAGCACTCCTCTGGGTGATAAGAATAAAAAAATGCATGCTTTCATGAAGCTTACATTCTAATGGGAATGACAGAAAAAAGTAATTAAGCAAAATATGTAGAATATTGAAAGACATCAAAAGTGATAATTATTTATGAAATGAAATGGATATTGCTGAAGATACGGCTCATTTTTTCTTAAGACCATATAGTAACATATGTTGTAATTATAACTCCTCTATGTTTTTCAGATGTAATTCACTGTTTCTTAAGATTGCTTGTTTAGTCTTACCTTACTCCAGTTCAAACTCAGCTATAAATTTTTCTCTTTACAGGTGTAGGTAATGCAATGCCCTATGTGAGGCAAGATGGTTAAGTGGTCAAGAACATGAGCTTTTGATTCTAAGTAAATTGTGTTGAATCCCAAATCTTTTTCTCTTTCAGATCAATTTATTTATTCCACCAGTTTTTATTTCTTCCTCTGTAGCATCATAAGAATAACAACTATTAGAGTCTTGTGAAAATTAAATCAGATGATGTATGTGTGTAAGGCATTTAGTGTAGAGAAATGCCATATAAGTACTTAATGTTTGTTTTATTATTGTTATTTTTTACATCTAATGCCTGTTTGTTTCTGAAACCAGTGCCTTCTCAGGAATTCTACTAATGTATATCAAAAATCTTGGAAGAACTAGATTTCTTGCTATTTCTATAAACAAATAGTTTCTCTCCTTAAGATGTAATATAAAAGCTATTGCATAAATTAGTTTTTAACAGTTCATATCACTCTGATATCTGAGGAAAAGCTTGATTATGATTCATTTTATTAAGATTTATATTTATGGTAAGATTTTGCCATGTATGTTTAAAAATAACTTGTTAAAACTGGTAATATTTAGTTGTTCAATCGATTATATACTTGTAAAATATAATGAATACCCAATTTAGAAGAAAATGTTAACATCCAGAAACTTACGGTTGTAGGTAGTAATAAAACTTATAATTAAACCCAGATAATTACTTTGTTATAGATATCTGTGATATGATGACCAATTAAATACAGTAATACCCTAAAATATATTAGAATGTGTATGAAGAAGTTGGAACAAAAATATATTTTCAAGGACAGCAAAGCCAAGCATAATATTTCTGTAAGTTAAAGCAGATTTTGTTCATAAAATTTTATAATAGGTAATGGTTATATCAAGTTGGTAACTAAAGTTTTCATTAAAAACATTTGAAAATTGAAACTATGCTGGAAATACTTATTTAAAAAATATTTCAGGGTATATATAAGCAACAATGCAAAGATCTCTGGTTTAGTCCCTGAAGTTTTGGGTTATTATATATTTATCAAGTTAAAAATGGTTAGCAATAGGCCTGAAATCCATTCTCTCCCTTTATCAAGAATAGAACTTTGTATCAGTGATGAGAAAGAAAGAAGAGTAATTTGTACAAAGGAAGTTTAATATAAAGAAACATTAACTAATAATAGAAATTAACTACTAATGGGTAAAGAAAATTCTGAAGAATCAAAATAAGTTGAGTAAAATGGACATTGTACTTGCAAAATCTTAAACCCTTCAATTTATTGAAAGACAATTGTTAATGATAAGTTGTTCTGAAAGCAAGCTTCTATTTACCTTTCAGGGCTGGATTTCTCTATAGGCCTATAGACACATATAACAAAAGAAATTTCTTCCAGTCACTTCTTCTGAATGTGTGCTTATAAACTCCTTTTTTTGTGTTAAACTTTTTCATTTACTGAAAGAAAACTGTTAAGGTTGAGCCATCTGAGAGTAAGCTTCTATTTACTTTTCAGGACTGAGTATCTCTATGGAGACAGAATCATATGGGAAAAGAAACTTCTTCCAATAACTTATTAATGTGTGCTTACAAACCCCTTTTCCTGTTAAACTCTCCCATTCACTGGTAGAAAACAGTGAACAGGTACTACTTGTATGATTGAGATAGAGCACCCAGAGGAAAAAAAAATGTAAAGAACCACCCCCGACCTCAAACATGGAAATAATATCGGTGAAGGTTACCGTGTTCATGGTATATTGAATATTAAAAGTTTACTATTGTGGCCAGGCGTGGTAGCTCACGCTTGTAATCCCAGCACTTTGGGAGGCCAGGCCGGGCGGATCACGAGGTCAGTAGTTCGAGGCCAGCCTGGCCAGCATGGTGAAACACCATCTCTACTAAAAATACAAAAATTAGCCGGGCATGGTGGCGCGTGCCTATAATCCCAGCTACTTAGGAGGCTGAGGTAGGAGAATAGCTTGACCTCCGGAGGTGGAGGTTGCAGTGAGCCAAGATCATGCCACTGCACATCAAGAGTTTACTATTATGTTATGAGCTAGGGATGGTAAGCAGGGCACTACACTCTCAGGTGCCTGCACAACTCATTGGGAAAACACTGGGGTACGTGTGAGACTCACTGGATGTCAAAACAAGCCACTCACTGAGATGACACTGAGCTCCCTAGGAAGAAGCTGAGGTGGTTCACTAAGCTTTCTGAGGATAAGCATAAACGTGCCCTACGTGCTGCTGGACTGGCATGTGCAGGAAGAGGACACCAAAGCATCTGCTCTATTGATGTCCTAGTGAATGCCAAATAACTACCACAATCTGGTTTTTCTAGTAATGTCTAGTTTAGAAACTTGTTTCAATCTACAAACTTCCTGCTCCCTGCCATGAATCTAGAGATTGTTACGTATATGTAGCTTCTGGGTCTGACCAACCCTGCAGAGTAGATTCTGTGTCCACTAATTCAGACATTCTTCAGATAGAGTAAGTGGATAGCAGAGAGGGAAGCAATAGAGAAGGAAAGAGTACCCTATTCTTTTTGAGCCACGGTGGGAATATTGAAAGAAGAGAAGGATTCTCCCCTAAAATATAAATAGTCACATTAGGTTATGAATTTATTGCTTTACTATTATTGGGTTGCATTTCAAAGAAGCAGAAGAATATATGCAAAAGATACTATTGCTCCCCTAAATGAACTAAAGATTTTAATTTCACTGTAAAATTAAAAAATCAATTAAAATTTCAAATACAGAACTTAGCAGCTGATAAGAAATAATTCTCCATGTTCTATCACATTTCTGTACCTCTTTTGAACAGAGTTATTCCAGCTTTTGCTCAGGACTATTTTTTTATGAATGTTTGTAGAGCAAACAGCTTTGGAAGACAGAAATAGCATCTCCCTTAGGAGCAGAAGGCAGATTTATGGTCTTCAAAAATAATAAAAATAATGTCTGCCTCCAGAGGAGAAGCTGAACAAGTTTTCTAACAGCTTAATCTAATATCAGATAGTTCTTCAGCTAGGGCACACATCTACTGTGTGCCCACCATCCACATAGAACGTTCTGCATTTGCTTTGGAACTTTGACTGTCAAAGGTAACTGAGGTGAACATAAAACTCATACTTCTTGCCATGTCATGAATAATAAAATCCATTATTTCTTAAGCAAGAGGCTCTGTTCTCTGCCAGAATTTATAAAACCTTGGAAGGCTAGCTCCTTAGCTTGTATGTGAGGTAAAACTCCATACCTTCACAGTTCTTGAGAGTAACAGACAACAAATAATAACTAGATTGGTTAAAAGCACTATTTGAGATGAATTAACAACAAACTGTGAGAGTAATAGTTTATAATAAAGTCAATTTGAGACAGAGAGCAATGTTGATATTTTGAAATGATGGACAATTACAGCAACTTCTAAAAGATAAAAAAATTAAGGGTGATATTTTCCTCTACTTCTCCAAAGAATCTATAATAAGGCCTGGTGAAATATGCGTAGAATATTTTCAAAGGAATACTGTATTAGATTTGTATTGTTGTATAACAAATCATCGCAGATCAAGTGACTTAAAATAAATACATTACTTAGGCCGAGTGTGGTGGCTCACGCCTGTAATCCCAGCACTTTGGGAGGCGGAGGCAGGCAGATCACCAGGTCAGGAGATCAAGACCATCCTAGCTAATATGGTGAAATCCCGTCTCTACTAAAAATACAAAAAAACTAGCCGGGCGTCGTGGCGGGCGCCTGTAGCCCCAGCTACTTGGGAGGCTGAGGCAGCGGAATGGCGTGAACCCAGGAGGCGGAGCTTGCAGTGAGCCGAGATCGCGCCACTGCACTCTAGCCTGGGCAACAGAGCGAGACTCCATCTCAAATAAATAAATAAATAAATAAATAAATAAATAAATAAATAAATAAATAAATAAATACATTACTTATTTCACAGTTACAATGGGTCCCTAGTCCAGGCACAGGTGGTCTGAGTTCCCTGCTTAAGGTATCACAAGGTTGCAATCAAGGTGATTATAGGCAGGGCTGAAGCTCAGAGTCATCTTCCAAGCTCATTCATGTTGTTGGCAGGATTCAGTTCCTTGTACTTGTATGACTGAAGTCTCTACATCCTTGCTGACTGGAAGCTGCTCTTTGATCCTAGAGTCTCACGACTTACTTCAAAGCCAGCAGGAGAATCTCTTTCTTCAAAAAGAGTCTAGTTCATGTTCTAAAGACTTTCAATAGATTAAGTTAGGCCCACATAGAGTAATCCTCATTTTGATTAACACAAAATGAACTGATTTGCGATGTTAATTACATCTAAAATATTCCCTCACCTTAGTCATATAAGGTGACCTAATCACAGGAAAGACCATCTATCATATTCACAGGTCCTGCCTACCCTCAAGGGGAGGGGATTCTACACAGAATGCACACCCAGGTACACTAGAATTCTGCCTTTCCAGACATGTTAAGAGAATAATAATTATTATTACAGCTGACCACCATGGCACATGTCTGTAGTCCTAACTACTCCGGAGGTTGAGGTGGGAGTATCGCTTGAGACCAAGAGTTCTGGGCTGTAGAGCGCTAGGCTGATAGGGTGTCTATCCTAAGTTTGGCATCAATATGTTGATCTCCTGAGAGTGATGGACCACCAGTTTGCTGAAGAAGAGCTGAACCAGCCCATGTTGAGAATAGGGCACATCAAAACTCCTGTGCTGATCACTAGTGGAATTGTGCTTGTGTGCTTGTGAATAACCACTGTACTCAAGTCAGAGCAACATAGTGAGACTTGGTCTCTAAAATAATAATAATTATTACTATTATCGCATAACTTTAAAAAAGAATAATATAATACTTATTTCATAATAATAGTTTTTACACAATAATAATTGTGTTTCTTTTATGGAATTAATATTTAAAAATAATATTTTAAAATATAAAAGGGATCCTTATTGAAGGTTTAAGAAATAATATGGTTCAATGGAAAGATAATCAAATTGAGAACAGAATGTATTCTAGTCCAGATTCTGCTGTTAATATGTTTGCTGTCTTTAACAAATTTTATCTTTATTTCTTGATTTATTGTTTAATCACCCACTTCTGAAATGTATTTTAAGTGGTACATATACAATATAGCCAGCAAAGTAAAACATGAAAAAAAATAAGCAATCAAACAAGAAAACATATGAAGATATTTGGTAATATCAGTATTAGGTAAAATAAAGCCTTTCAGTGACTGCTTTTTCAGCTTATATAGATTTACTAGTGAGGCATATGAAGAGAAATCTGGGATGACTGGATTTGGGTTTTAGATTTAGAAATCTGGGAAGGAAATTCTGAATAGGAGACCTGCAATATCTGTCACAAGCCTGGAGAAACAAGGTTGACCTAATTTGGCATTTGGTCTAGTTATGAGTGAGAGAGGCAGCAAGATTTTGTGGAAATTGGTAATGTTGAGTCAGACATGGAAATTAATATGAGATTATCCATATGGTCTGGAAAAAACATTATTTTATTCAAGCTATAATATGGAGACTGACTTCTGTTCCCTTGGGCAGCTACAGCAAGAGATTTTGTCTCAAAAGTGTATAAAAAGTTTAATCAAGAAGTTAGATAATTTATGAGATGGGAAATGACTAGGAAGATGGGAAAAGAAAGCTGGAATTTGATGGGCAGAATGTATCTTTGAATAAATCCAGGTCTTCCAGATTTTAGACTTAACACCTCAACATTAATGAAAAACAGTTGATTCATACTTTTAGGTTTCCTCAGGAAAAAGTGACCCAGAACAAAGAACTGCTAGTAAGACAAGATATATATTGCTGAAAAGTAGGTAATTATGAATGAATTATTTTTGGATTGATTCCTGAAGAAACCTCTCTGAAGTCAGACACCCTATTGTGCCATGAGGTCATCAGAAGAAACCTCTTTGGATTTAGGTTGGATTCCTATGAAAGCAAAACTTTTATAAGTGAAAACTAAATATATTTACTACCAAAACATAAGCCATCACATAGAAGCACTGCTTTGTGTCTTCTGCAGAATATTATAGACATTACAAAGAGGAATTCTTTATTTCCATACAATAAGGTATTTGGTAGTTTTAATATAGTAAGTGGTCCTAAGTCCACAGATACAGCATTAACCAGTGGTGGGAGAAAAATTCCAAGTTAAATTGAAATTTTGCTCAGAGGGATTCAGAATGGATTTATTATATTTCTGATTACTTAATAACATGCTCTTGATTACACTCAGATGTCTGTGTGTGCAGGTGAGGGGTGAATTTTATTCCAATGCACCTGAAAATTAAATACCATAAAATTATTAGTCATGAATTCAATGAAATCCCATATGTGTCCATGGGCTAACTAGAATTGGGAAACTCAGTTTACATTAGAAATGTCTTTTAAAAATTGTTTTGACAGCTTTGTTCATTACATGTATCAATCTATCACCTACCAAAGATGTTTTCCTCTGCAATACTTAATAAGAAGAAGCTTAAATAAACAAGGGTTTATTTTCATAATTAACAAAGTTTGGAAGCTAGCATTTGCTGTTGTGTCAAATTGATTCAACGGTTCTACTTAAGGAATGTGGTTGACATCTCATGAATTTTCTTGCCATATTCCTCACATTTAAAAAGGATGCTCCAAACATTGTGTTGAACATTTGATCTTTGAATTCAAATGTAGGAAGTTGCATGGTTTCATCAAGCAGAAAAAAAAACCTTTTTCTAAAACTCTATTACCTTTTAGCAAGCTGTCTTGAAAAGTCTCAATTTCCAGGCTGCTTCCTCTTGAACTTAGTTAGGCAGGGGACCAGGTTCATTTTTTCTGAAACAAAGTCATCTCTGCTCAATATTTGAAGAACATCAGAGGTTTAAAAGCAAATCTGGAGAAATAATAGATTTTGGATAGATTGTCTGCCATTTGTAATTAATCCATCATTTACAAATACTGAACAAACACATTTATAAAGCTAGGTTATGAAAATTATTTAAGTAGTTGGTAGTTTGTGTCTCATGAGATACTGGTAGGTACTCCACTATGTGCTATGCCAAGTATGCCCTAATTTGTCTCTTTTTCATTAAAACAAAGCCTGAATCCCAAGTCATTTTTCCCTTCAGAAATTTTTTTATAGTTACTTGGAAACGTCTTTACCCTCGGACATTTTAATCCCAGAAGATGGAACAATGAACAATCATTTACTGGTGCGCTTTGATTCTTCTGGACTCAGCCTACAGACTGTCTTCCAGAGTCTTCACACTGCCTGGGTATTTGCGTGATATCACTGTGGACACATCAGGGTCATCACTGTGTGGATTTCACAGCTTGGCCTATGGGGAGCTACATCAACCCGGAGATTTTTTCACTCCATTAGTGGCTCCCTCAATTATTAGCCTCAAGGCAGGATTCATCCTGATTCTGAAAAATTCAGCTTTAGATTCTGCAGAGCCCAAGAGCTGGCATCTGTCTTTGAGTCTCTGGAAATACACTAATAATTGAGACCTTATAAATTATTAACCTAGATGACATTCCCCAAACCTCTTAGTTCTCTGAAATGTTTTCCGCCATTGGATTTTTCAGCTCTGTGACAGACTGCCTCTATCTAGGGATGTAATTTCCTAGTCCTTTTAGCCAAAACTTACAGAACAACCATTTTGCTTTTACCTGCTCTCATTTCTGGAGCTTCCCCAAGATGGAAAATATGAGAAGTTAGTATTGGTATGGGCGGCCCTTTTCTCTGCACCTGTCCTCATGTGGCTGTCTTGGATTTGTTGTCCCAAAGTTTCCTAAGGAAACAGAGTGCTATTGTCACTTATGTGTCTACTACATACCCTTATGTATTAAAAGGCCCTATAT
Source organism: Homo sapiens (assembly GCF_000001405.40). Classification (NCBI taxonomy): domain Eukaryota; kingdom Metazoa; phylum Chordata; class Mammalia; order Primates; family Hominidae; genus Homo; species Homo sapiens. Next base: position 194,655,311 of record NC_000002.12, on the reverse strand, counting down.
GGCTCATGACTGTGGTATTTTTGGGTGGCCTCTAAAGTAGCTCTCAGTGTCAAAACACTAGAGACAGTTTTTTTCTTGCTGTTATATATTGCAAGAAAGAGCCTCTTGCAACCAGTAAATATTGTGGGTGTTTCTGCTTCACAGAATGTTAGACTTTGCTTCTGGAGCACACCCCTGTTTTTAAAGGACAATAATTACTTTGTGTTTGATATCTTTGGTGTCATGGCTCAGATGTTCCTCTGGTCATCTTGCTAGTATGTCTTGAATGACTGCAAGATTTTTTCTGAGAACCACGTGGCTCTATTTGACTGGCTTATGCTCATTTCACTCAGACTGGTAGCAAAATTGTGGGTCCTTAAGTCATCCCCATGGTTCTTATTTTCTTTCCCATGGGTTCTGTGTTCTGGGGAGTCCTCAGGACAATTCTCATTTCAGAATCCTTTAGTGATACAATTCTATCCTGGAATTGCTGATCCATAGTTAAAACAAACAATAAAAAGGCCTCTATCTGGGCACCAATTCATGGCTTACTCTCCATCGACTTTTCCTTTATTATTAACTTTACTTAAGATGAGAACTGAGGATCTCTATGGGGCCACGTGAACTCTGAACTTCTTTGATACTATTGAAGTCTATGTATCCCCTGTTATACTTTGTCCCAGCTGAATTCACTACGGAAGATTTAATTCTTTCATCCTTCTCTGTCTTGTCCAAAACTCCAGTAACATGGAAGAATTTTTTTCCTTCTTAACCATGGCATGGGTTCAAAAATGATTTAAAGTTATCAGACATGGACACTTAGGCTAAGATGCCTTGTGATCATAAAGTATTGTGTGGTCCTAGAGAATTTAATATCATTTACATCTGCTCTGAGCCACACACTAATCCAAACTCAAAAACTTTGCCTTCCAAGTATTAGCACAAATATTCCAACAACATACACAGCTTTTGGTGCATGGTGGCTTCAGTTATGGTATTAGCACTTATTTTATCACTTGTTTAATGATATTAGTTACTTTAAAAACAATTTTTAAATAAGCTTTAACTTATGAGATAATTTTAGATTTATGGAACACTTGAAAACAAAGTAGAATCCATGTATATCATTCACTCAACTTCCCCTAATGTTAACCTCATGTATAACCACAGTATATTTGTCAAAACTAAGCAATTAATATTGGTACAATACTAGTAACTACAGGCTCTATTCCTATTCTATTGATTTTTCTGCTAATGTTTATTTTCTGTTTAGTATCCAGTCCAGGCTACCACATTGCATTTTGTCCTCATATCTTCTTCGTCTCCTCTGTCTGCGACAGTTTATCAGGTTTTTCTTGTTTTTGGTAACCTTGACAGCTTTGACAAGTACTAGTCAGGTACTTAGTAGAATGTCTTTAAATTGGGGTTTGTCTGATGTTTTATCATGGTTAGTCTGAGGTTATTGGATTTGGGGAAAGAATACCAAGGAGATGAAGTACGGTTTTCATTGCATCATATCATGGGGCATATTAAATCAACGTGACGGATCACTGGTAATATTAACCTTGACAACTGGTTAAGCCGCTATCTGCCAAGTTTCTTAACTGTAAAGTTACTATTTTTTTATTTTTCACATACTATTTTTTGGAATTGAATCACTAAGTCTACCCCTAACTCAAGGAGGAAGAAGTAAGCTCTGCTTTCTGGAGTGGGGACTATCTATCTGTTGAGCTATCTATCATTTAGAATGGTTCTATAAGATATATTTGCCCCTTCTTCCTAGCTTAATTTTTGTTCACTTTTTAATTTTTATGAGTATGGATCAATAGATATTTTATTTCTTGAGTTATAATCCAGTATTATCATTATTTATTTGTTGCTTGAATGGTTTTACCTTTGCCCATTTAGAACTTTTCCAGATTATCTCCTGTGTCCTTTTGAATTTCTCTCACAATTTTCTGTGTGTGTGTGTGTGTGTGTGTGTGTGTGTGTGTGTGCATGTCTTTATTTTCTGGCCCTAAACAAGGCCAGGTTTAGCTTCTATTTTCTTGCCCAACTCCTAGAATCACCCATTTCTCCAAGAAGCCTTGGTTCCTTTTATTGGAGAATGGTATTTCTACACCAAGATATGAGCATTCGTATGCTAATTGCCATTGAGGAGTCACTGTTTCTAGACCATCTGAGAAGACATAACTAGGAAATATATGTAGATTACTAACCGAGGTATACACATACTGTAATTATTTTACATAAATCTGTATGAATATGAAAATAAACATGAGTTCATACTATCTTTAGCACCACATCATCATTCTAGCAGACCCCCACCCCCAACTTCTGTATTTCCACTTCTTTTTCTGACAGTATAAGCATCGTTCTCATATCTACTATTTATGTACTTGTTCAATGTTAGTATGCATATAGATTAAGAACTGCTAACCCATACCCTTGTGAAAATAAAATACTATTTAAATACAGGTTTTGGTTGTATGTTTTTAGTCTTACATCATCTCATCAAAACACAATTTTTCCAGTTTCATATAGATCATTACCCTTTTCCCCACATCTTTCAGTGAACTTAGGCCATAGATTTGTAATACAGTTAGATTCACTTGTCACAGTCTGCATTCCATTGCCTGGTTCCTCAAGATCTTAATTGATTTTTCCAAGGGATTTCAATTTATTGTTTATGATGTCTCTACATATACTCCCTGAACACTTCTTGATTGATATACTTTCATGCGTTAATGGCACTCAGATATACTAGAGAGTTCAACCAAAATGCAAGCATATCATTATTTTCTCATGATCAGATTATGCATCATGCATTTTTCACTATCTGTATCCCATACAGAAAGACCTTAATACCAGTATCAAAATACAGTAGTGTTACCATTTTTCCCTTTTTGTTTGGTTTATACTATGAAGATTGGCACAGCCTATGTGGGAGTTGATCTGTGTGACACAGCTTTGATGATCAGGATGAGAATGCATTCCTGGTTATTACCAGTAGTGATTGGTCTGCAGTGCAAATGGATCATTTTCTCTCAATAGTCCTCGATAGGATATCAAAAGTATCAGTGCTGGTACACTAAACTTTACCAGCTTGGGAATAAGATAGAATAAGGCTTCTAGTTTTTCTGGCTTTGGTGTCCACTGGTGATACTGAAACTCCATGAAACATCATCCAAGTAATTTTTGAAATTTCATGGTTTTCCTTACATGCTGTCACAGTTGAGTCAGGAGTCAGCTGATTGCTAACACTACTATATTGAGCATCTATAGAGTGTTGCTGAAACTGCCAGAGTTGTATTGTCTTATTTTCAGAATCCACTGAGTAATAATACATCAACTTGGAACTACTATTAACTCTATGGATATCTGTGTTGTAATACTGAGTATACCAATAATCTGTTGATTTCTTTTGGATGAATATTGATTTCCTAGTTTTTTGTTATAATTTGGGAATGTTTCAACCCCCCTCTCTGATATTTTTATGGAGAAATCCAAAGTGAAAAGGCCTATGTTATAATATTTTATACACTTTTAACTTATTTTTATATGTATTTTATATTTTCAACTGACTGATTCATTCATCTCTGCTTTTTTATGGTTCACCTTACATTTATACAATTGAATATTAAAAGAAAAGGCTAACAGGAAGGAAAAAAATGCCAGTGACACTGTGCTCTTTTGTTTTTCTTATTGTGTTTGTGGTTAAAGTTTTAATTTCATATTTGTAAATTACTTGTGTCTCATCTTCCATTTACATTCCTGGTAGTGTCCCCAGTCAATCTTTTAGTTTTTTTTTTCTTACTGATTTGTAAGATTATATTCACACACACACATAAAACACATATATACATGTATATAAAATAACTATATATATTACACGCACGTGTGTGTGTAACATATATATTTTATTAGCTATATAACAGGTATATGCTTTATAATATCTTCTCCCTGCTTGTGGCTTATTTTTTTTTTTAGAATGTTATATGGACATATGTTCTTATTTTATAGAGTTGTATAAGAATTCTTTCTTTCTTTTATTTCTTTTTTTTTTTTTTTTGCAAAGATGAACCTTAACATTTTGCATTGGAATGCCTAGTTGCCTTTTATACTGAGACCAGGTGAAGTAAAAAGGCAAATCACACCATGGAAAATATATTTGCAATTCATAAAAGAGAAAAAAAACTTTATATTCAGAATATACTAATTTATCAATAAGCAAAGACAAATGAAGATATTGTTAAAGAATCTAAAAGGCCACTTTATAAGAAAGAAACCCCAAATGTCTAAGAAAGATGAAAATATTCTCAACCTTGTTAGGAATCAGGTAGATGCAAATTTAAATCACAGTGAGATACCATCATATACCCAAGAGATTTGTAGAAATTATGCAATCTGAACAAATGATGGGTAAATGTGGAACAAAGAAAACTCTTATATAATGCCAATAAATAATGTAAAATCTGAAAATGTTAGGTAGTATCTCATAAAGCAGAAGATAAGCAAATCCTATTGATTTACAATTCTATGCTTGAGAATATATACCACAAGAATGAAAGTTTTTAAGTATCCATAAGCATTCAAGGGATAATAACAATAGGATTGTTTCTAATATATCAATATATATTAGAAATATAATTGGACTTATGTTTTAAATTATATATTTTAAATATATATTTATATATTTTAATTTTATTTTTAAAATATATTTTATATATTTTTATACTTAATATATATTATATATTTTAATTATATATTTTAAATATATATAAATTTTATAATTTAATTTAAATATATTTAAATATATATAAATATAGATAGACTTATATTTTAAATTATATATTTAAAATTAAATATATAATATATATTTAAAATATATAATTTAAAATATAAGTCTAATTATATTTCTAATATAAGTCTAATAAATATATTTAAATAGACTGGAAAGAACCCTAAACCCTATTTCCAGCCTAAATAACCCAAGGCTGGAAATAAACCTTCTAATATCCATAGAAGGAAGAAGCAAATAATAGTATATTGATATGGAAAGCTATAACTACAGTCATAGAAATAAAAGTATTGCATAAGTAAGCACAAACCTGGAAGAGTCTTACAGACATAATATTGAGAGAGAGAGACAGAGAGAGAGAGAGAGATCAGAAACAATAGAACATGTGCAATTTGATTACATTTAAACAAAGTCCAAATTTTGTTTAAATACTAATAAAATGATTAAGAATAATAGCGAAGTAAAGGTCATAAATGTTGCATTAGTAAATTACTCCTGGAAGGATGAAGAAGGATGAGGAAGAGGCATGTGGAGGCTTCTGAAATACAATAAAATGTATTTAAAGATCATTCCACAAAATACTGTGGTTAGGTTCAGCTCCATCATCTAAATGATATAAATATCAATACAGGTAAACTAATTGAAATTTCTACACTGTGTTGTTATAGATTATTTTTACATTTTTGTTTTTCTGTATTTTGGGAGATATATAGGGGTGTGTGTCTGTATGTGACGGGTTTTAATAATGTGATGGTAAATATTTAAAATCCAGATCTAAAAGAAATGAAATAGTTTGTAACTCTTCATTATGTCAAGTTATCGAGTGTGAAATATATTTTGTTTTTAATTGTGTCTGCTTACATGGAGTTTCAAGAATATCTAAAATCCTAGGAAAAAATAACATTTTAAGCTGCTAAATCCAGTGTGTTTAAATTATTTATCATCAAAATTCACTGAATAAATTTAACCCTATTAAAATATTCTTCAATTAACTCTGTGCCCCAGTTTGGTGACATGTGGAATATTTCCAATTACTTTAGGGCATCTCTAAATTCTGCACAAATTTTTAGTTGTAATTTAATTTTTTTGAGCTTACAGTCTGTTAACCACTGGAATTCAGATATATCTGAGGATGTCTAAGAGATCAGTTGAGTACCTAGCCAAGACTCAATTAGGGTGTGAAACTGAGTAGCCTGTTAGGAAAGAATGTTAACATAGGGTCAGTACTAGGAGAGACAGGCAGGCTAAATTAATGAGTAAGGGTACAGATTATAAACTCAGAAGCAAGCACATTTAAGCTTGCCTCTCCCAATTCTGTTTTACATGACTTTGGACATGCTATTTACTCTTTGGGGGCCATATTTTTCTATATACAACATGGCACATTAATAGTACCTAATGCAATTATTGTATTAAATAAAATAATGTATTATAAGGCTTAGCTAAATGTCAAGTATGTATCACACTCTCAATATGTGGTAGCTCTTTTTACAATGTTTAATTTAAGACCTGTTAATATAATAGTTTCTCAGTGTTCAGAGGATTGACCTAATTGAAGAGAGTGTAGTGTTTCTATGCTTATTGATCATAGCAATGTCTCACCTACATTCAGGTGAAAGTGGCAGAGTAGGGAGGCAGTGCCCAAGGGAGGTATGTAGGATTTTAGATTCCAGAAGCTTTGGAAGAGAACCTAAAGGTCATTATAAATAAGACAAAAATCAATGCTATACATTACTTGGTATCTGCCAATTGTTTTGTGAAAACAGATAAAGTGAAATTTTAGAAATAATTGGCAAAAACATTGATGGGAGGTGAAGGTATGTAGAAAGTGGCAAGAATCTGTAAAATTCACTATATAACCACATATGGCACATAAAGCTGAAGGCAGTGCATTTGAAAAACTAAAAGATAATAGAATGTCTAAAGTCCAAACTTAGTGAGATCTCAGAATTAAAACAGCATTTATGTGTTTATAATAAAGATGAAGATACTCCATAAGAGATGATCCATATCTTCTATCTAAGTTGAGCCTCCACATTCTAAGATAAGCTTCTAAAATTGGAAAGTATTTGAATGTCTTATGACCAGTATGATTCTAGGCTGTGGCATACGCTAACATCCCCTCCAAAATTACTAGTTAATTCCAATATTGTAAAGAAATAATATTATGAGTGGATGGAATTTTCAGGATGTAGAGAAGAAAGAACAGATTTCTGAAAAGACACACTTATATTATTGAGTTTAGAATGTGGAATTCTTGGTTAATATCAGTACATTATAACATGGTGTAACAGCGATGATCAGCCAGATTTTGCTGCAATAATAGATGAATCAAAATATTATTGGTTTATAAATACATAAGTTTCTTATACCATGTGATTGTTGTATATATGAATATTATTTTTATTGATAACCATAGTTAATAGTCACAATTTATTTCTAGCTTTATTTTTTCCCCAAGCCAAAAAAGAAAATAGATCTTTAAAAGGGTTTCAGAATAATGAAGCAGAATTTGAACAAAGTCCTCTTGGAATGATGACCAAAACAGCACATTTTTTCATTTGCTTCCATGGAATTAGTTGCTAACACCTTTAATAGCAAATTTATTTCTGCAATATTATACATACTGTGATGGCAAGAGCTATGTTTAGGCTGTTCACTGTTTTATTGCTGATGCATAGAGATAAATGTGTCAAATGTGGGAATCATTAAAACACAGTACTTCAAAACATGAGAGTCATTCTTTCTACTATTGGAAAGCATCACTAGATTACTTTTAGAGCAGGGATTCAAAGATATGATGGAAAATTGGAATTCATGTGTGAAAAGTTTTCTGGACTCAGGACAGAAACAATCTTATTCCAATGACTTATTACAAAAAATAGTCTGAACAATGTAAGTAACTTTTCTAACTTTATGATCTTTTTAGGACAAGATAACATTTTTTTGAAATCTATATAAAATTGTGCAAAAGTAAGAGGACATTTTCTCTTTTATACATTGAAACACTATTCTCAATTCTTTTTTTCTTTTCTTTTTTTTTTTTCTCTGACAAGAGTTTATCTATTGTTGCCCAGGCTGGAGTGCAATGGAGCGATCTTGGCTCACTGCAACCTCCCCCTGCCGGGTTCAAGTGATTCTCCTGCCTCAGCCCACCACCACGCCCAGCTAATTTTTCTATTTTTAGTAGAGATGGGTTTTCGCCATGTTGGCCAGGCTGGTCTCAAACTCGTGACCTCCGGTGATCTGCCTGCCTCGGCCTCCCAAAGTGCTGGGATTACAGGTGTGAGCCACTGCACCCAGCCTGTTCTCAATTCTTTAATAACAACCATGATAACATGCTGTATTAGCCTTCTTAGGCTACCATAGTAAGCTGTCACAGACCTGGTGGCTTAAAAAACAGAAATTTATTTCTGATAGTTTTAGAGGCTGGCAGCTCACAATCAAAGCAGATTAGTTTCTCCCGAGGCCTCTCTCTTTGTCTCTCAGGTAGCATCCTCTTCTCAGATCCCTTTCCTCTGTCTCTGGGTGTCTCTGGTGCCTCTTTCTCTTCTTATAAGGACATCAGTCCCATTAGATTAGAGCCCTACCTCTATGACCTCATTAAACTTTGCCTCCTTACAGGCCTTATCTCCAAATACGGTCACATTGATGGTTAGGTTTGCAACATATGAATTTGGGGAGGACACACATCAGTCCATAACACACTATTATTCAAAAGGAAAGACACTTTTGAAGCATGAATCTTAATATGCCTGATCCAGAAAGTCTTCCTATTATAGACAAACAATACGACAAATAAAGAGAACTGTCTTAGCAAATCAATTTTCAAATTCATAATAACATAAGTCATATTTTAATGCAAGAGTTTCCCCCATGAAATTTTTTGTGGGAATTTTTTTTTAATTTTTAGTTGATGCTTAACAAAAACATAAAGTGGGGGAAACGACAACCTTTTCAGCAAATGGTGCTGAGATAATTAACTAGCCACATGTAGAAGAATGAAACTGGATCTTCATCTCTCACCTTACATAAAAATCAGCTCAAGATGGATTGAGGACTTAAACCTAAGAACTGAAACTATAAAAATTCTAGGAGATAAAATCAGAAAAACCTTACTAGACATTGGCTTAGGCAAGGATTTCATGACCAAAAACCCAAAAACAATTGCAATAAAAGCAAAGATAAATACCTGGTACCTAATTAAACTAAAGAGCTTTTGCACAGCAAAAGGGGCAGTAAGTAAACAGATAATCCACAGAGTGGGAGAAAATCTTCACAGTCTGTACATATGACAAAGGACTAATATCCAGAATCTGCAATGAACAAATATGAATTAGCAAGAAAAAGAAAAAACAATCAATCCCATTAAAAAGTGGGGTAAGGACATGAGTAGACAATTCTCAAAAGAAGATGTACAAATGGCCAAGAAACATTTGAAAAAATGCTTAACATTCCTAATGATCATGGAAATGCAAATCAAAAATGTGATACCAACTTACTCCTGTAAGAACGGTCATAATTGAAGAACCAAAAAAAGTAGATGTTGGCATGGATGCGGCAATCAGAGAACATTTCTACACTGCTGGTGGGAATATAAACTAGTATGGCTGCTATGGAAAACAATGTGGAGATTCCTTGAAGAACTAAAAGTTTAATCCAGCAATCCCACTACTGTGTGTCTACACAGAGGAAGATAAGCATTATTTGAAAAAGATACTTGCACACAGGTGTTTATAGCAGCACAATTCCCAATAGCAAAGTCATGGAATCAACCAAAATGCCCATCAATGAGTGGATAAAGAAACTCTGGTATATATGTGTGATGGAATACTACTCAGCCATAAAAAGGAATGAATTAACAGCATTTGCAATGACCTAGATGAGATTAGAGACCATTATTCTAAGTGAAGTAACTCAGGAATGGAAAACAGAACATCGTATGTTCTCACTTATATGTGGGAGCTAAGCTATGAGGATGCAAAGGCATAAGAATGATACAATGGACTTTGAGGACTTAGGGGGAAGGTTGGGAAGAGAGCGAGGGATGACAGACAACAAATATGCTACAGTGTATACTGCTCGAGTGATGAGTGCACCAGGTTATCCCAAATCTCCACTAAATAACTTATTCATGTAACCAAATACCAACTATACCCCAATAACTTATGGAAAAATAAAATAAAATAAAATGTAGTTGATACTTGACAATTGTACACATTTATAGAATACAGAATGTTTTGATACATGTATACAATTTGTAGTGAGCAAGTCTGGGTAATTAGTATATCTATTACCTTAAAAATTTATCATTTCTTTGTGTTGAGAACTTTCAAAATCCTCTCTTTTAGCTATTTGATGATATACAATAAATTGTTAACTGTAGTCACCCTACAATGCTATAGAGCACTAGAACTTACTCTTCCTATCAATTTTGAATATTCAATTTTGAGTAGATTGTTGTATATGGTAAAAGATAAGGGATTAGTTTCATTCTTCTACATATAAATATTTAGTTTTATAACACCATTTATTGAAGTACTGTTGTTTATTTAATGTATGTCCTCAGTGCCTTTATCGAAAATCAGTTGGTAGTAAATACACGGATTTATTTTATTTATTTATTTATTTTATTATACCTTAAGTTCTAGGGTACGTGTGCACAATGTGCAGGTTTGTTACATATGTATACGTGTGCCATGTTGGTATGCTGCACCCATTAACTCGTCATTTACATTAGGTATTTCTCCTAATGCTATCCCTCCCCTAGCTCCCCACCCCATGACAGGCCCTGGTGTGTGATGTTCCCTGCCCTGTGTCCAAGTTTTCTCATTGTTCAATTCCAACATATGAGTGAGAACATGAGGTGTTTAGTTTTCTGTCCTTGCGATAGTTTGCTCAGAATGATGGTTTCCAGCTTCATCCATGTCCCTGTAAAGGACATGGACTCATCCTTTTTTATGGCTGCATAGTATTCCATGGTGTATATGTGCCACATTTTCTTAATCCAGTCTATCATTGATGGACATTTGGGTTGGTTCCAAGTCTTTGCTATTGTAAATAGTGCCACAATAAACATACATGTGCATGTGTCTTTATAGTAGCATGATTTATAATCCTTTGGGTATATACCCAGTAATGGGATGGCTGGGTCAAATGGTATTTCTAGTTCTAGATCCTTGAGGAATTGCCACAATGTCTTCTACAATGGTTGAACTAGTTTACAGTCCCACCAACAGTGTAAAAGTGTTACTATTTCTCCACATCCTCTCCAGCACCTGTTGTTTCCTGACTTTTTAATGATCGCCATTCTAACTGGTGTGAGATGGTATCTCATTATTGTGGTTTTGATTTGCATTTCTCTGATGACCAGTGATGATGAGCATTTTTTCATGTGTCTGTTGGCTGCTTAAATGTCTTCTTTTGAGAAGTGTCTATTCATATCCTTTGTCCACTTTTTGATGGGGTTGTTTGATTTTTTCTTTTAAATTTGTTTAAGTTCTTTGAAGATTCTGGATATTAGCCCTTTGTCATATGGATAGATTGTAAAAATTTTCTCCCATTCTGTAGGTTGCCTGTTCACTTTGATCATAGTTTCTTTTGCTGTGCAGAAGCTCTTTAGTTTAATTAGATACCATTTGTCGATTTTGGCTTTTGTTGCCATTGCTTTTGGTGTTTTGATCATGAAGTCCTTGCTAATGCCTATGTCCTGAATGGTATTGCCTAGGTTTTCTTCTAGGGTTTTTATGGTTTTAGGTCTAACATTTAAGTCTTTAATCCATCTTGAATTAATTTTTGTATAAGGTGTAAGGAAGGGATCCAGTTTCAGCTTTCTACATATGGCTAGCCAGTTTTCCCAGCACCATTTATTAAATAGGGAATCCTTTCCCCATCTCTTGTTTTTGTCAGGTTTGTCAAAGATCAGGTGGTTGTAGATGTATGCTGTTATTTCTGAGGCCTGTGTTCTGTTCCATTGTTCTGTGTCTCTGTTTTGGTTATGGTAGCTTGTAGTATAGCTTGAAGTCAGGTAGCGTGATGCCCCAGCTTTGTTCTTCTTGCTTAGGATTGACTTGGCAATGCAGGCTCTTTTTTGGTCCATATGAATTTTAACGTAGTTTTTTCCAATTCTGTGAAGAAAGTCGTTGGTAGCTTGATGGGGATGGCGTTGAATCTATAAATTACCTTGGGCAGTATGGCCATTTTCACGATACTGATTCTTCCTATCCATGAACATGGAATGTTCTTACATTTGTTTGTGTTCTCTTTTATTTCATTGAGCAGTGGTTTGTAGTTCTCCTTGAAGAGGTCCTTTACATCCCTTGTAAGTTGGATTATTAGGTATTTTATTCTCTTTGAAGCAATTGTGAATGGGAGATCACTCATGATTTGGCTGTCTGTTATTGGTGTATAAGAATGCTTGTGATTTTTGCACATTGATTTTGTATCCTGAGACTTTGCTGAAGTTGCTTATCAGCTTAAGGAGATTTTGGGCTGAGACGATGGGGTTTTCTAGAGATACAATCATGTCATCTGCAAACAGGGACAATTTGACTTCCTCTTTTCCTAATCAAATACCTTTTATTTCTTTCTCCTGCCTGATTGCCCTGGCCAGAACTTCCAACACTATGTTGAATAGGAGTGGTGAGAGAGGGCATCCCTGTCTTATGCCAGTTTTCAAAGGGAATGCTTCCAGTTTTTGCCCATTCAGTATGATATTGGCTGTGAGTTTGTCATAAATAGCTCTTATTATTTTGAGATACGTCCCATCAATACCGAATTTATTGAGAGTTTTTAGCATGAAGGGCTGTTGAATTTTGTCAAAGGCCTTTTCTGCATCTATTGAGATAATCATGTGGTTTTTGCTGTTGGTTCTGTTTACGTGATGGATTGTGTTTATTGATTTGCGTATGTTGAACCAACCTTGCATCCCAGGGAGGAAGCCAACTTGATCGAGGTAGATTAGCTTTTTGATGTGCTGTTGGATTTGGTTTGCCAGTATTTTATTGAGGATTTTTGTATCGATGTTCATCAGGGATATTGGTCAAAAATTCTCTTTTTTTGTTGTGTCTCTGCCAGGCTTTGGTATCAGGATGATGCTGGCCTCATAAAATGAGTTAGGGAGGATTCCCTCTTTTTCTATTGATTGGAATATTTTCAGAAGGAATGGTACCAGCTCCTCTTTGTACCTCTGATAGAATTCAGCTGTGAATCCATCTGGTCCTGGACTTTTTTTTGGTTGGTAGACTATTAATTATTGCCTCAATTTCACAGCCTTTTATTGGTCTATTCGGGGATTCAACTTCTTCCTGGTTTAGTTTTGGGAGGGTGTATGTGTCCAGGAATTTATCCACTGCTTCTAGATTTTCTAGTTTATTTGCACAGAGGTGTTTATAGTATTCTCTGATGGTAGTTTGTATTTCTGTGGGATCAGTGGTGATATCCCCTCTATCATTCTTATTGCAAGTATTTGATGCTTCTCTCTTTTCTTCTTTATTAGTCTTGCTAGCTGTCTATCAATTTTGTTGATCTTTTCAAAAAATGAGCTCCTGGATTCATTGATTTTTTGAAGGTTTTTTGTGTCTCTGTCTCCTTCAGTTCTGCTCTGATCTTAGTTATTTCTTGCCTTCTGCTAGCTTTTGAATGTGTTTGCTCTTACTTCTCTAGTTCTTTTAATTCTGATGTTACAATATCGATTTTAGATCTTTCCTGTTTTCCCTTGTGGGCATTTAGTGCTATAAATTTCCCTCTATACACTGCTTTAAATGTGTCCCAGAGATTCTGGTATGTTGTTTGTTTGTTCTCATTGGTTTCAAAGGACATCTTTGTCTCTGTCTTCATTTCGTTGTTTACTCAGTAGTCATTCAGGAGAAGGTTGTTCAATTTCCATGTAGTTGTGCATTTCTGAGTGAGTTTCTTAATCCTAAGTTCTAATTTGTTTGCACTGTGGTCTAAGAGATGGTTTGTTGTGATTTCTGTTCTTTTACATTTGCTGAGGAGTGATTTACTTCCAGCTATGTGGTCAATTTTTGAATAAGTGCTATGTGATGCTGAGAAGAATGTGTATTCTGTTGATTTGGGGTGGAGAGTTCTGTAGATGTCTATTAGGTCCCCTTGGTGCAGAGCTGAGTTCAAGTCTTGGATATCCTTGTTAACCTTCTGTCTCCTTGATCTGTCTAATATTGACAGTGGGGTGTTAAAGTCTCCCATTATTATCGTGTGGGAATCTAAGTCTCTTTGTAGGTCTTTAAGGACTTGCTTTTTGAATCTAGGTGCTCCTGTATTGGGTGCATGTATATTTAGGATAGTTAGCTCTTCTTGTTTAATTGATCCCTTTACCATTATGTAATGGCCTTCTTTGTCTCTTTTGATCTTTGTTGGTTTAAAGTCTGTTTTATCAGAGACTGGGATTGCAACCCCTGCTTTTTTTTGTTTTTCATTTGTTTGGTAGATCTTCCTCCATCCCTTTATTTTGAGCCTATGTGTGTCTCTGCACATGAGATGGGTCTCCTGCATATAGGATACTGATGGATGTTGACTCTTTATCCAATTTGCCAGTCTGTTTCTTTTAATTGGAGCATTTAGCCCATTTACATTTAAGGTTAATATTGTTATGTGTGAATTTGATCCTATCCTTATGATGTTAGCTGGTTATTTTGCCCGTTAGTTGGTGCAGTTTATTCCTAGCATCAATGGTCTTTACAATTTGGCATGTTTTTGCAGTGGCCGGTACCGGTTGTTCCTTTCCATGTTTAGTGCTTCCCTCAGGAATTCTTGTAAGGCAGGCCTGGTAGTGACAAAATCTCTCAGCATTTGCTTGTCTTTAAAGGATTTTATTTCTCTTTCACTTATGAAGCTTAGTTTGGCTGGATATGAAATTCTGGGTTGAAAATTCTTTTCTTTAAGAATGTTGAATACTGGCCCCCACTCTCTTCTACTTGTAGGGTTTCTGCCAAGAGATATGTTGTTAGTCTGATGGGCTTCCCTTTGTGGGTAACCCGACCTTTCTCTCTGGCTGCCCTTAACATTTTTTCCTTCATTTCAACCTTGGTGAATCTGATAATTATGTGTCTTGGGGTGCTCTTCTCGAGGAGTATCTTTGTGGTGTTCTCTTTATTTCCTGAATTTGAATGTTGGCCTGCCTTGCTAGGTTGGGGAAGTTCTCCTGGGTGTAATATCATGTAGGTGTTTTCCAACTTGGTTTCATTCTTCCCATGACTTTCAGGTACACCAATCAAATGTAGATTTGGTTTTTTCACATAGTCCTATATTTCTTGAAGGCTTTGTTCATTTCTTTTTATTCTTTTTTCTCTAAACTTCTCTTCTCACTTCATTTCATTAATTTGATCTTCAGTCACCAATACCCTTTCTTCCACTTGATCGAATTGGCTACTGAAGCTTGTGTATGTGTCATGTAGTTCTTGTGCCGTGGTTTTCAGCTCCATCAGGTTATTTAAGTTCTTCTCTCTGCTGTTTATTCTAGTTAGCCATTCGTCTAATCTTTTTTCAAGTTTTTTAGCTCCCTTGGCATTGGGTTCGAACATCCTTCTTTAGCTCGGAGAAGTTTGTTATTACCGACCTTCTGAAGCCTACTTCTGTCAACTCGTCAAAGTCATTTTCTGTCCAGCTTTATTCCATTGCTGTTGAGGAGCTGTGATCCTTTGGAGGAGAAGAGGCTCTCTGGTTTTTAGGATTTTCATCTTTTCTGCTCTGGTTTCTCCCCATCTTCATGGTTTTATCTACGTTTTTTCTTTGATGATGGTGACCTACAGATGGGGTTTTGTTGTGGATGTCCTTTTTGTTGATGTTGATGCTATTCCTTTCTATTTGTTAGTTTTCCTTCTAACAGTCAGGTCCCTCAGCTGCAGGTCTGTTGGAGCTTGCTGGAGGTTCACTCCAGACCCTGTTTATCTGAATATTACCAGTGGAGGCTCCAGAACAGCAAATATTGCAGAACAGCAAATATTGCTGCCTGATCCTTCCTCTGGAGGCTTTGTCTCACAGGTGCACCCGGCTGTATGAGGCGTCAGTCGGCCCCTACTGGGAGGTCTTTCACATTCAGGCTACCTGGGGGTCAGGGACCCACTTGAGGAGGCAGTCTGTCCATTCTCAGAGCTCAAACACCATGCTGGGAGAATCACTGCTCTCTTCAGAGCTGTCAGACGGAGACTTTTAAGTCTGCAGAAGTTTCTGCTGCCTTTTGTTCAGCTATGCCCTGCCCCCAGAGGTGGAGTCTACAGAGGCAGGCAGGCCTCATTGCGCCGCGGTGGGCTCCACCCAGTTTGAGCTTCCTGGCCACTTTGTTTACCTACTCAAGCCTCAGTAATGGCGGATGCCCCTCTCTCAGCCAGACTGCCACCTCGCAGTTCGATCTTGGCCTGCTGCTCTAGCAGTGAGCAAGGCTCATCCACGGATTTATTTCTGGGTAATCTATTATTTTCCATTGGTGATGTCCTTACGTTTTTATATATATGATAACGTCATTTGCAAAGAGGGACAGTTTGACTTCCTCTCTTCCAAATGGGGTGCCCTTTTTAATCTTTCTCTAGCCTAATTGCTCTAGCTAGGATTTCCAGTACTGTGTTCAGTAGGTGTGGTGAAAGTGGGCATCCATGTCTTTTCATTTTTTCTCTCTCTCTTTTTAATTTTTCTATTAGTATTTTTTCTCATTTAAATTTCACCTTTACTTTTAGACACAGGGGGTACATGTGCAGAATTTTTACATAGATATATTGCACCCATGTAGTGAATATATTATCCAATAGGTAGTTTTTGGTACCCATCAATAATATGGCCCCTATTTACCCTCCTACTCTAGTAGTCCACAGTGTCTATTGTTTCCTTGTTTGTGTCCATATGAGTTCAATATTTAGCTCCCACTTATTATTGAGAGCATGCAGTATTCAGTTTTCTGTTCCTGCATTAATTCGCTTAGGATTATGTCCTCCCACTCCATCCATACATGGTGCTGCAAAGGACATGACTTTTTCCTTTATATGGCTGCATAGTATTTCATGGTATATATGTATCACATTTTCTTTTTCTAATCTACCATTGCTGGAAACCTAGGTTGATTCCATGTCTTTGCTATTGTGAATTGTGCTGTGATGCACATATGAGTACATGTGTTTTTACAATATAATTATATATTTTTTGCGTATATACCCAGTAACAGGATTGCTGGGTTGAATAGTAATTCTGTCTTAAGCTCATTGAAAAACCTCCAAACTGCTGTTCACAGTGACTGAGCTAATTTACATTCCTACCAACAGTGTATAACCATTCATTTTTCTCTACAGCTTTGCCAACATCTGTTGTTTTATGGCTTTTTAATAATAGCCATTCTGACTTGTGTGAGATGGTATCTTATTGTGGTTTTGATTTGCATTTCTCTAATGATTAGTGATGTTGAACATTTTTTCATGTTTTGGCCATTTGCACGTCTTTTGAGAAGTGTCTATTCATGTCCTTTGCCCATTTTTAAAGGGGTTATTGCTTTTTGGCTTGTTGATTTGTTTAAGTTCCCTGTAGATTCTGGATATTAGGCCTCTATTTGTGAGTATTTTATCACATTCTGTAGGTTGTCTGTTTACTCTGCTGATAGTTTATCTTGCTGTGGAGAAGCTTTTTAGTTTAATTAGGTTCCCCTTCTCAATTTTTGTTTTTTTGCAATTGCTTTCGGGGACTTAGTCAGAAATTCTTTGCCAAGGCCAATGTTGAGAGGGCATTTTCAATGTTTTCTTCTAGGATTTTAATTGTTTGGGGTCTTTCATTTACATTTTAATCCATCTTGAGTTAATGCTTGTAATGATGAAAGGTAAGTGTCTAGTTTTATTTATCTGCTTATGGCTAGCCAGTTATTCCAGAACCATTTATTAAATAGAGTCCTTACACTATTGCTTGCTTTCATTCTCTTTGTTTAAGATCAGACGATTGTAGGTGTGAGGCTTTATTTCTGAGTTTTCTATTCAGTTCCATTAGTCTATATGTCTTTTTTTGTGTGTTTCTTTATTCTTATTTTTTAGGTTCAAGGATGTATGTGCAGGTTTGTTATATAGATAAACTGTGCGTCATGGGCATTTGGTATACAGATTATTTTGTTACCCAGGTAATAAGAATAGTACACAGTAGGTAGTTTGTTGATCCTTTTCCTCCTCCTGTCCTTCACCCTCAGGTAGGCCCTGATGTCTGTTGTTCCCCTCTTTCTGTCCGTGCATTCTTGTTGTTTAACTCCTACTTATAAGTGAGAACATGCAGTATTTGGTTTTCTATTCCTGCATTAGTTTGCTTAGGATAATGGCCTCCAGCTTTATTCATGTTGCTGCAAAGGACATAATCTTGCTCTTTTTTACGGCTGTATAGTCTTCCATGGTATATATGCATGTTATGCCTGTCATTTTCTTTGTCCAGTCTACCTTGATGGACCTTTAAGTTGATTCCATGTCTTTGCTATTGTGACTAGTGCTGCAGTGAACATACATGTGCATGTGTCTTTATGGTAGAGTGATTTATATTCCTTTGGGTATATATCCAATAATGGGATTGCTGTTTTTGTGCCAGTACCATGCTGTTTTGGTCTTTTCCTGATCATAAAGTAAAAGCTTTCAGCTTTTCTCCATGCAGTGTGATGTTAACTGTGGATTAGTCATATATGGCCTTTATTGTGTTGAGGTATGTTCTTTCTCTACCTAATTTGTTGAATGTTTTTATCATGTATGGATATTGAATTCTATCAAGTGGTATTTTTGCATCTATTGAGATAATCAAATGGTTTTTAATCCTTTATGCTGTTGATTCAGTATATTTATTGATTTGCATATGTCGAATTATCCTTGCATCCCTGGGATAAATCCCGCTTGATCAAGTCTATTTATTATCTTTTTAATGTGCTGTTGAATTCAGTTTGCTCTTGTTTGATTGAAGATTTTTGCATCTATGTTAATCAGGGATATGGGCCTGTAGTTTTATTTTTTGTTGTGTCTTTGTCTGGTTTTGGTATCAGTGTAATTTTGGCCTTATAGAATGAGTTAGGAAGAATTTCTTCTGCTTCAATTTTTTGAATAGTTTGAGAAGCATTTGTGTTAGTTCTTCTTTTAAAGGTTGGTAGAATTCAACAATGAAGACACCTGGTCTTAAGCTTTTCTTTGTTATGAAATTTGTATTACTGATTCAATCTCACTAGTCATTTTGGTATATTGAGGTTTTCTGTTTCTTCTTGGTTCAATTTTGTTAGGTTATGCATATCAATTGACCTTAGGAAGAAGCAAGTCTATTTTGTTTTTAATGTCTGGTCAGGGCTTAAATGAAGTAGCCAGCAAAGCTATGGGACCTTCTCAAGATTTCATCAGGGTAGGAGAAGCAGTTTCAAACAGGTTCAACATATTTGCAAAGGCAACAGTAGGCACAATAAAATTAATGTTTTAAATTTACTTTTGTTTTATTAAATAAAAACAACTGGTTACGTGTCTTTCACCTGAGAAAATTTAGTAATCAAGGTTATCTTGGGAGGCATGATATAGAGTATTTTTTTAACAACATGATTATTTTAACAACATGAATAATGCAGTTTTTTTTCAACCCTAAGCAACGTTGCATAAGTGATGAGTAAGTAAAATTTAAGAGTAGTAGGGAGTAAGTGTAATGAGAAAGGCCTGAAATGGACTTCTTTGGGACAATGGCATGCAGTTAATGACTATATCTGGGTGTAGCTAAGGCAGAATATTATGGAAACAACATCATAGGTTCAGATAATCAATCTGAAGCCTTGAGCAGGAATTCCTTATCAATCCCTTTTGAATCTTTAGCAATTTGGAAATTAATTTTGTAAGCCAGAGTTCAATATGAAAAATATAAAAAGGTTAGCTTTTGCAGACTAATTCTAAAGGAAATGACTAAAAGTGTGATAATTTATAGCTGTGCACAGTTGAATGCTCATTCTCAGTTTTCACAAAAATCAGTGTGGCTTAATACATGTCTGAATAATGAAGAAAAGGAAACAAATATCCCCTCCATTATGGATACTATTCTTACCCTATTTTCCAAGTGCATGTTCCTTAGAAGCCCTGCTGCTCTCTTCTCTGCCATAAATAAGAAAGGCACATTTTCATGCAGTCTGGGAATGCAGGAGCCAGGGGCCCTGGGTCCAGTTGTCCCTGGCCTTGCCACTGCCTTCAGTGAGAGAGGAATAGCAAACCTGTAACCCAGTCCCAGTGAAGGGAAATTCTTTCAAATCTCTGACTTTTCTTCATTAATTCCTGTGGGTAATGAATAAAAGCTTTGTTAATTTGTGTTAGTAAATTTAGGATATAGAAACATGTAAATCAGAAACATAGGTCCCATGGATTGAAGCCTTGTTAACACAAACTTCCTTTAGGGAAGAAACACAAATGATTAGCTTACTTCTATGGTAAAAAAGATTGAAGATGGAGTATAAAGAGGAAAAAAAGTTCAATTAAGTATCTTATAATACATTAATATTTAAGGTAATATGTAATAAAGTGGAAATAGTTTAATGCCAGTATTCAGGTTGTGTCTCCTTTAATAAATCATTTTGTCATTTTCACGAATTTCAAACACATACATTACTTTTAGTATTATTGGGTTTTCTCCACTCTGATTACTATACTTAAAATAATAGCTCTAACATAATAAGATTAAAACTTTACAGAATATTTTCTGAACATATGGATAAAGTAGGTGTTTAATAAATGTTTGATGATTAATATTGTAAATAAATTGAATAATTAATTCAACTTATAAATGAATTATTCAATTGGGCTATACATTTCAAAATTAGACAATCATGTAATAATATTTTTGCAATAACCTAGGATTATAAAATGTAAGCATTTCACTTTGTGGGTTAATAGAAAGTCTGGTTTATTTAATTGTCCCAAATCAGAAAATAAACCATTCAAAATACGTGAAAACAAAACTAGTAAAAAAAAATACAAGGGAATTTTATGTCTAAAAATATTGTTAGTTGAGTTATATAGCAAAAATATAGAAAATGGACTTTTTTCTCTATAGTCTTTCCTTCAAATTTACCTTTCCAAGTATTTTGGAGACTTTGTCTATTTAAGTATGATACAAAGTCATTTTTTCACTGAGAAAGTAGAGAAATTTTGTATAGTGGCAGCTGTGTTAGCACTAAATAAGCATAAAAATTTCACCTAATGAAGAAATTTATATTTATTATATGAACAGATTTAAACTGTTGCAGTAAAACTTAAAACTCATTTGTATAACATTTAAGATTAATACTCTTTAAAATCTATGTATTATTTAACACTTACAAAGAAACACATATTTAGTATAAATTACTCATTTTCTCAAGAACATCAAGAAAACTGTTACAACCGGGCTAGATTTCAGTCTGCTTAAGAAATCTTGAACATATTAACTTAAACTTATTTTCCTAAAATAGGCTTGAGGCCAATTACTAAATCTATATGACTTTTATTGCCCCCCTTCTTTCTTTATTTTAAGTATCTCTCTATTTTTTTAACCTCAGTTTTGGTTTTCTGCTTCTCACCTGCTAGCCGTGTTTGCATGTTATAATTTTTCAAAAAATGTGTTTATAAACATAAAAGATAAAGAAAATATGAATATATAGAGAAAATTTTAAGGACATAAATAGCTTCAGTATTGTATGAACATTATCTGACTACTTAAAAAAATTATGATAATCGGCTGGGCACGGTGGCTCACGCCTGTAATCCCAGCACTTTGGGAGGCTGAGGTGGGCGGATCACGAGGTCAGGAGATCGATACCATCCTGGCTAACACGGTGAAACCCCACCTTTACTAAAAATACAAAAAAATTAGCCTGGTGTGGTGGCGGGCGCCTGTAGTCCCAGCTACTTGGGAGGCTGAGGCAGGAGAATGGCCTAAGTAAACCCAGGAGGCGGAGCTTGCAGTGAGCCGAGATCACGCCACTGCACTCCAGCTTGGGTGACAGAGCGACACTCTGTCTCAAAAAAAAAAAAAAATTATGATAATCAGTTTCAGTTATTTCTCATTTGTGTAAATTCATGTTGCATGCAATAATATCCCTGTAGCTTGCAGATATTAATATATTTTATATATATATATATTATATATATGTTACTTGGATTTATCACTACTTTCAGACAAAAATATGATTTTTCACAAGTTAAAACATTTGAGCTATTAAAAGTATTACCTAACTTTTACTAAGTAATTGATTATCAATTTTCTATGCTCATTGGTTCCACTAAGATATTATTGTGAGTACAACAGTTATGGCACCTGTGTTTCTGATATTTCACCATAATATAATCTGACCATGAGAACTGGAAGAAAACTCACATGCTAGAAAACATGCTAGATTTTTCCAAAGTAAATAAAATGAGCTATGAATATTTAAATCCTGAGATATACTTATATTCTTTTCAACTCTATATACCATATAATTCCGTTTGGCAAAAGCAAATTAAATCTTTTTTTTTTGGTGCAGATGACATCAGCTGTGGTTACTGTAATTTTTCATAAACAATGTCCAAATTTTTAAAAATTATTATGCATTCCAAAAAACAATGCTAAAGATGTTTTTAAGAGAAAATATAGACAATAGAGAGCCACAAAAGATCCACATATTGGACTTTTCTAGTAGGTACTTTAAAAATAAATATGACAGGCTCGGTGTGGTGGTGCACCCCTGTAATTCCAGCACTTTGGAAGGCAAAAGTGGGCAAATCACTTGAGTCCAGGAGTGTGAGAATCACCTGAGCCTGGGAGTCGGAGGTTACAGTGAGCCAAGATGGCGCCACTGCTCTCCATCCTGGGTGACAGAGTGGGACTGTCTCTCAAAAATAATAATAATTAAAACTAAAACAAATATGATAAATACAATAAAATAGAAAAAAACTGAGCAAATTTACCATAAAGCTAGAATCTATTAAATAAGAAAGGGATGGGAATAAAGAATTTTATAGGTTGCTATAATAATAGATTAGATGTAGAAAGAGGGAAGATTAGTCAATTATAAAATGTCCAAATGGATTCACAGAGAACAGACATACATTAAAGAGCATAAAAGCTATATTTGGCACAGTGAAACAAGACAAAACAAAAATTAAATAATAAAAAAACACTTGTAAGTCATTGAAGTCTCAATTGAATAGGATAAAAATGGAGCACAAGTAATTGTTGAAAAAATAGTAATTTTCCATAGCTGAGAAAAGAAATTAGACCAAAATTTGA
Source organism: Homo sapiens (assembly GCF_000001405.40). NCBI lineage: Eukaryota > Metazoa > Chordata > Mammalia > Primates > Hominidae > Homo > Homo sapiens. The sequence goes on along the minus strand of NC_000002.12, from coordinate 194,632,309 downwards.
ATATCTATGGACTCCAATCATAAAGAATACAAAACGAATCATGCCTAGTACATGATAGGAAATCTACTGAAAACTTCACACAGAACATCTTAAAAGCAGCCAGAAGGCTAAGGATGGTGGGAGATGTATGACCTTTAAATGAGCAAGTACATATGATATGTGATCTTCAAAAACCAGAGGATAATAAAACAACTTATAAAAGATATATATAAATATATATAAAAGATATATATGACTATATATATATATATTTACCATTCTAACCATAGTGAGGTGATATCTCATTGTGATTTTGATCTGCATTTCCCTGTTGATTTGTCATACATTTGACAGTTATTATTTATCTTCTTTGGAGAAATGTCTATTCAGGTCTTTTGTCCACTTTTTAAATTGGGTTATCTGTTTTCTTGCTATTGCTATTAAGTTGTTTGAGTTCCTTATGTATTTTGGTGCCTTACCAAATAAAAATGTGAGGTAATACATTTTTAATTAACTAGATTTAACCATTCCACAATGTATATATACTTTAAAACGCCATGTATATGGTAAATACATACAATTTTATATATGATTTTAAATAAATAAATTTGGAAAATAAACAGCATCTAAAGTGCTTCATAAAACAAAATAAAATAAAGCAAAAACCCCTGCTAACATAGAATTCTATACCAAGAAAGAATTACCTTCAAAAAATTAAGGTGAAATATAGATATTTTTAGATAAGCAAAAAATAGAGACAATTTTTGTTGCCCACTGGTACTTAAAAAATAAAATAAATTACCTAAGGAGAGAGAAAATGATCTCAGATGAAAGCCAAGTAATAAAGAATTTAAGATTCCAGAAAGAGTACACATGAACATAAATATAAATGAATACTAATTATTCAAAACCATAATAATTACTTTTTGTGGGAATAATATATAGAGATAAGTAAATTATAAGGTAATAATAGCATGAAGCCTAGAGAGATTAAATGGGTTAAAATGTCACAAAGTTTTGCATTATTTAGAATGATTACAAATTAAAATACATTGTAGTAATTTTAGGATTCATGTTGCAAAATTTAGGGTAAGCATTAAAGGAAAGAAAATTAATACATAACAAAATAATGGGTATGAAAACTTACTAAGGACAAACCATAGATAAATTTAAGGAAGGCAAGACAAAAAAACTGGACAAAGAGATAAAACAAGCAGAAAAATATTGAATTATTAGGAATTACATTTAATTAATATAAATGATCTCCTCCCCCCACCACACACATCCAAAGACCAGGAGTGCTACTAATAAGAGCAAGACTGCTAATTAGAAAATAAACATATAAAAGCTATAGACACAGAAAAGTTGACATTAAAAAGATAAAAATAGCTATAACATGAAAATATCAACTAAGTGAAGCCATTGTATTATATCAGACAAAATACTCTTTAAGCTATAGCATTGCTAGTTATAAGGAAAGCTGTTTAGTCTTCATAAAATAGTCAATTTAATAGGATAGTAAAGCAAGGCTAAATGTTTATGTACCTAACTAAATGAACTCAAAATATTTAATAAACAAGCTTACAATTCATGGACATATCAACAAATTTATAATTATATATGGAGTTTTTTATTATTATTGTACTTTAAGTTCTAGAGTACATGTGCACAACGTGCAGGTTTGTTACATATGTAAATATGTGCCATGTTGGTGTGCTGCACCCATTAACTCTTCATTTACATTAGGTATTTCTCTTAATGTTATTCCTCCTCCCTCCCCCCATCCCATGACAGGCCCAGTGTGTGATGTTCCCCGCCCTGTGTCCAAGTGTTCTCATTGTTCAGTTCTCACCTATGAGTGAGAACATGCAGTGTTTGGTTTTCTGTCCTTGTGATGGTTTGCTCAGAATGATGGTTTTCATCTTCATCCATGTCACTACAAAGGACATGAACTCATCCTTTTTTATGGCTGCATAGTATTCCATGGTGTATATGTGCCACATTTTCTTAATCCAGTCTATCATTGATGGACATTTGGGTTGGTTCCAAGTCTTTGCTATTGTAAATAGTGCCGCAATAAACATACATGTGCATGTGTCTTTCTAGTAGCATAATTTATAATCCTTTGGGATTTACAATCCCAGTAATGGGATGGCTGGGTCAAATGGTATTTCTAGTTCTAGATCCTTGAGGAGTTGCCACACTGCCTTCCACAATGGTTGAACTAGTTTACACTCCCACCAGCAGTGTAAAAGCATTCCTATTTCTCCACATCCTCTCCAGCACCTGCTGTTTCCTGACTTTTTAATGATCACGACTCTAAATGGTGTAAGATGGTGTCTCATTGCAGTTTTGATTTGCATTTCTCTGATGACCAGTGATGATGAGCATTTTTTCATGTGTCTATTGGGTACATAAATGTCTTCTTTTGAAAAGTGTCTGTTCATATCCTTTGCCCACTTTTAGATGGGGTTTTTTGATTTTTAAACTAATTTCTCTCAGGAACTGACCAAACAACCAAACCAAATGTTAGTAAGTTTACAGAATATGTGAGCTGCACAATGAGAAAAATTTCTCTAACTGCCGTATAAAACACTATGTCTAGCAACTACGAAAGACAACTTTTTATAGAGTATATATGTAGAACAATAACTGAAAAAACTTGTGTTGTTAAGCAAAATCAACAAATTTCAAATAATGTATATGAATAATTTTTCTAGCACAATGGAATGTAGCTAGATATCAACTTTTGAAAGATAACAAGAAAATGCCCCATATATGAAAATTAAGAACTATATTTTGAAATAACCAATTTATTAAAAATAAAATATAATGGAAATATATTTTAAACTGTATACAAGCAAAATATGGCATATCAAAACTTCTGGGATGCAGTAAATAGAAGAGGGGCTGTAACCAATTATATCAGCATTTATTTCAACAACTTAAAAGAACAGCATAGCACAATCAGAGAAAACACTAGAAATAAACTAATAAAATGGCAGAATCAATAAATTGTAAAAAGACATAAAAAATAAAATTGGCAATTTGAAAAATTACCATTTTCAAAATATTAATAAATTTGATAATTTAAAAGCAATACAAACAATAATCAATGAATCGATTAATCAGTAAAAGAAGAGAGAGGGAAATTGAGAGACAACAAATTACCAATGATGTTGTGAATTAAAGAGGGCTGTAAGTACTGAAACTATAAATATTGAAAAAATAAAGAAAGCAAAAAGTATATTATGAACAATAAAACATCACTATACTTTAAAATTTAGATTAACTTGACTTATGGAAAATTAGCAAAAGCTAATCAAATAAGGAGTAAAAAGTCTCAATATCTCTGTATCTATTAAAGAAATTTAACCAGCAGTTAAAAATTACACAGAAGAGAAAACTTTGAACCCAGTTGTTTTCCCAACTGAATTCTTCAAAATATGTGAGACAATATTAAACTTACATAAAAACTTCAGTTAACGGAAAAAGAAGAAACACTTTAAACTACTTCCTAAGCACAGCATAATCTCAATAACATAAACTGAAAGTTGCAAAAAGTAAAATTAAAGGCTCCTCATTATCATAGATGAAAAACTCTAAATAAAATATTAACAAACCAGTGATATGTAAAAAGAATAATTTATAATGACAAAATGATCTTTATTCCAATTATGCAAATTCATTTAATATTCACAATTCAATCATTATTTGTTAATATTACATCTGAATAAGGCTTATGATATCAATTGTTGTAAAAAGTTTGATAAAAAGGAGACCCATTTATGATTTTCTAAAAAAAAACCTCAGCAAACTTAGAAGTGTGTTACATTATTTTTTATTCTGACAATGAATATTTACAAAATAACCTACAGCAAACAATATTTAATGGTGAAATATTGAATGCTGTCTTCCTAAGGAGACTAGAGTAGTGTGGAATGAGACTATAATTATTGGCCACTTCTTTTTAACATTGTGTTGGATATCCTATCTGGTATAAAAGTCCCCTCAAACAGAAATATAATGATTGAAAAGAAAGGAACACTACTGTCATTATTCTCAGATAAAATAAATGTGGAAGTAGAAAACAAGGAATAATTAATAAACTACTGGAGTTAATGAGTGAATTTTGCAAGGTCACCAGATATGAGTTCAATGTGAAACAAGCCGCCATGTGCTTTTATAAACTAGCTAAAAATATACCATTTAGGAAACAACAATATTATGAAACACGAAAAAATATCAAACTCCAAAGACCTCAAAACAGAAAAATAAATTCGAAGATCTACTGAAACAGAGAAGTAGACCACACTTATGGACTGAAAGACTAAATGTTAAGACAGACATTTTCATGTTGACTTACAGATTTAAGGCAATACCAATCAAAACTCTGAAGATTTTATTTGCATAAAATTATAAGATGATTCTAAAAAATTATCAAAACTCAAACCCAGCATAGCCAACACTATTTAAAAAAATGAGGTTGAAGGCATGCATAATGAGAACTCTGAATTTCTATTAAGTTACAATAATTAAGATAGTATGATAACAACAAAGAAATGTACAATTAGACCAACAGAAGGAAAGGAGATTCCTTTCAGATAGACATACACATATGTGGTCACTTGGTTTAAGATAAGGACACCAATGTAATTTAATGGGTAAGGGATGGCCTTTTGAAAAATGATTCATATCAACTCATACATCCATACGGAAAAAATAGACTTTATTCCCCATGAAACACCATACACAAGAACTAACTCAAGATGAATAATAGACATATATATATGAGGGGTAAAACAATATATTTCCAGGAAGAAAACATGAGATTGTTTTCATGACTATGAGGTAGAAAAATGTTTATTTAAAATGAGACATATACAATTATGAAAGAAAATTTGACAAAACAGACTTTACTAAAATATCTACTCATCAGAATTCATTAATATGGGAGTGAAAGGTAAATCCAGCCTCCAATATACACAAAGAACCTTAAAAAAATTAGTACAAATTTTACCAAAGCTTGAGACTTCATGAAAGAGGATATCCAAATACTATTAGGCACATACACATGTACTCAGCATCATAAATCAAAAGGAAAATAGAAGTTAAATTCACAATAAATCCATATCATACCAACTGGAATGGCTAAGTGAATAAAAAAACATTAAAAAAGAACCTTCCAATATGAAATGTAGGCAAGAATGTGGAGCCACTAAGCCTCTCATAGATTGCTGCAAGGAGTGCACACTGGCATAAACACTATTAAAACCTGTTTTGTGACGCCCGCCAAAGCTGAACACAAGAATCTCTGATGAAACAGAAACTTTATTAGGTATATCCCAAAGGCAAATGAATGGTTGCTACTTTAAAAATATTTTTCCTGATAGACAAAAACTAGAAACAACCTCTGTAAATTTTAATTAACAAGAGAATGAATAACTAAGTTGAGATATATTCATGCAACTGTGTATAACACAACCAGGAATATGAATGAACTATTTTTACAGGCAATAATATAGATGAATCTCAAACTTTATATTGAACACAAAAAGCAAGAAACAAGGAGTACAGACTGTACATTCTCATTTATATATATGTAAAAACTATGTAGATAGTATAAGATGATATGATATAAGATGGCGGAAGTTAGAATAAGGGTTACCTCATGCAGAAATGGTTATTTACAGGAAAAGTGCATATGAGAACTCCCTGGCTTCTGGAAATGTTCTTTATTTTGATCCCTGTGCTGATTACATTCCCACATATATACACAATATTTCAACAAGCTGTACCTTTAAGATTACTGCACTTTGCTATATGTGTTATTATAACTCAACAAGTTAAAAATGAAAATAATATTGATTTTTAATATATTAGCAATAAAACATGAGAAAATGAAATTCCAAAAAATATCATTTGGAAATATCAAAATCATTAAATATGTAGAATATATTTATTGAAAATATATATAACACACCTACATAGAAAACTACAATGCATTATTGGTAAAAAAGCAAGTTCAAGTTAATTAAGGGATATCTGATGGTCTTAAGTTGGAGGTATGAATAATGTGATGTTGTAAATTATTCTCTAATTAACCTGTAAATAGATTCAATACACTTGAAATCTTAATTCTATAAGGTGTTTCCTGTGTGTATATGCACACATGTATATGTGTGTGTGGTAATTTACCAACTGATTCCAAATTTTTATGGACATTTAAAGAGCCAAGAATAGCCAGGGTAATCAAAGAAATGGAGTCTGCATAATTGCTATCACTAGGATAGTTGCTATCAAACCCAAAATCTAAGTGGGTTTAATATATACATTTATTTTTCACTCTATAATATGCAAGGAAATGCAGGAGTTGGGGCACCTTCCACGTTGTGGCTTTGTCATGCCCTGCAGCCCCAGAATTCCCCTATTGGTGCCTCTCTCTCTGACTGGGAGTTGTGGAAAGATAGAACTAAAATCACACAGAATTTTTTTAATAGGCTATTCCTTTGTGTTGCATACATATTTCAGCTTACCTTGTATTAGCCAGAAATATGTTTCGTGGCCTCATCTAAAATTATAAATGAGGCTGTGAAAGTTATTTAGTTTTAACTCCCTGGAAAAGAAGAGAAACACAAATACTAGAGATCACCAGCATTGAAGTTGCTAGTAATTGATGTTACAATAAATATTAGAAATATTTTTTCTAGGGGAAATACTGTATTAATTATATCTTCATATCTCTTCAGGTTTCATATCACAAGACAATTTCCTAAGAATTTAAAAGCCTGACACTTCAAAATGGAATAGATTTGATTTGCTGATTTATCAGTTATTATGTAAAACTTCTAAGAACATTCTTATAGCCTGAAGACTAATTATGAAATTCAATTTCAGCGTGAGTTGTTTTTTTTGTCTATCTACTGTTCAGGGGATCAAGAGAAAGAAATCTTATGCAAAGGTTGTCAAAGCACTAATAATGCAAACTTTGTGAAAAATGAAGCAAAAGTCCCAAGAAGAGAAATGTTAATGCAAGTGAGCCAAAATTTATTCTAGCTCTTCAGCAATTAAAATATTTTGCATATGAAAGCCTTTGGAATATTTGCTATCATCATTGTAAGCTTCAAATGCATCAGCTTTTATTTTTTAAACTGTAAAAAGGAAACAAACAAATGATACTAACTCCACTATCTTTGATACAGATGTGCAGAAATGCTTAGACTGTCTTCTATTTTCCCAAGCCAGATGCTAAGGGATATGCTTTGGCTGGATGGTTTCTTTTTTATCAAGACATTGCTTCACAGGCAGTCTGATTCTTCATGGACTGGGGTGTAAAGTAATAGAGAAGCATGTGGTAATATACAAAAGGCCAATAAGAAAAAATATGATAAAATAGGAACATATGTCCTAATAAGTTTTACATTTTCACTACTTAAAGCAACATATAAACAGAAACAAAAACAGTATTAAAAAAACTCATTCAAACCAGACTGGGCTTTTGTATTATACATTACATGCATGAACACACACACATGTATATATAATATATATGTATTATATACACATATGTGTATATATACACATATATGTATATACATATATACATATATGTGTATATGTGTGTGTGTGTGTGAACTGCATTTTGATTTTGATGTTTATTTCTTGGACTCTGAGTTATGAGTTGTTTTTATGTGATTACATTATATAACGTGTTTAATTTACTCTCTGGGAGAAATAAGAAACAGACTCAGGGGAGCGCTGCCCTCCAACAAGCCAGTGAAAAAATATATATACTTTAAAAAACAGTGTAAAAATACAGACCTCAGAATTATGAAAGAAATTATCATATCTTGTAAAGCCTAAAAGACCTCAAAACCAGTATTTTCTGTAGTTGTAGAATCACTTATTTTCCATGCTCATTAAGTCGTATAATGTTCTTATTCACACTCAGTGATTTTTACATGTTTCTCAATTAGGCAACAAATATAATGTTTGTTTTTTGTATGGCAGAAAGAAGATATGTATTTGAACATACTCCAGTTAACTGCAAATGGGCTTCTGCTATTTGCAAATGCATCTCAACCGTAGATCAACAATCTTTTTTTTTTTTTAACTTTCATTTCAGGGCTGTATGTGTAGGTTTGTTACATAGGTCAACTTGTGTCATGGGGGTTTGTAGTGTAGATTATTTCATCACCCAGGTATTAAGCCTATTAAAATAACCTATTAGTTATTTTTCCTGATTCTTTCCCTCCTCCCAACCTCCACCCTCAGATAGGCCCCAGTGTGTGTTGTTCCTCTCCTTGTGTTTGTGGGTTCTCATCATTTAGCTCCCTCTTATAACTGACAACACGTGGTATTTGTTTTTCTGTTCCTGCGTTAGTTTGCTAAGAATAATGGCTACTAGCTCCATCTATGTCCCTACAAAGGACATGATCTTGGTATTTTTTTGGCTGCATAGTATTCCATGGTGTATATATACTACACTTTTTAATCCAGTCTATCACTGATGGGCAATTAGGTTAATTTTATGTCTTTGTCATTGTCAATAGTACTGCTATGAACACATGCATGTATCTTTATAATAGAAAGATTTATATCCCTTTGGGGATATACCCAGTAATGAGATTGCTGGGTTGAATTGTATTTCTGCCTTTAGGTCTTTGAGGAATCACCATACTGTCTTCCACAATGGCTGAACTAATTTATACTCCCGCCAACACTGTGTAAGCGATCCTTTTCCTCTGCAACCTTGCCAGCATCCATTATTTTTTTTTTACCTTTTAATAATAGCCATTCTTACAGGTGTGAGATGGTATCTCATTGTGGTTTTGATTGGCATTTCTCTAATGATCACTGGTTTTGAGCTTTTTTTCATAAGATTGTTGGCCACATGTATGTCTTCTTTTGAAGTGTTTGTTCATGTCCTTTGCCCACTTTTTTTTTTCTGTGCTTCACTTTATTTTGTAAATAAATATCAATAGAGTAGTGTCTTATACATAAAATTGGTATATATAATGTAATAGTGTAAATACTGAAACGATTATACAAAAGACACCCAAAAGCCATATATAGATAAGTCAAAATTGAATTCTAAAAATTATTCAAGTAACCTACATAAAGGTCGAAAAAAGAAAATAGAAACAAACAAACAAAAAAAACAGAAGAAACAAAAAACGAGCAATAAAATGGCAGACTTAAGCCCCAACACAGAAATAATTGCATTAAACATAAAAAATGGTCTAAATACACCAATCAAAAGATAGATTGAATTATTTTTTAAGTTTTGAACGTGTTATGAGTGAGTTGCATATGTTCGCAAACTCACTTCAAATATAACATATACAACTTGAAAATAAAAGAATGAAAAAAGACATATAATACAAGTATTAATCAAAGGAAAGTAAGACTAGCTCTGTTAATATCAGATAAAGTAGACTTCAGAACAAATATATGTAATATACATGTGTGTACACACACACATTCACACGTGTGTGTTTGTATATATGGAAATGATAGGGACATTATACACTGATGAAAAGGCCAATACTCCAGGAAGACATGGCAATCCTAAGTGTATATATACCAAATAACAGAGCTGCAAGTTATGAGAAGCAAACATCGACAGAACTGAAAAAATAGACAAACCCAAAACTATATTTGGAGATTTTAACACCTCTATCCCCAAAATCGATAGAACACCTACACTGAAAATTAGCAAGAATACAGAAGAAATCTATATTATTACCAGCCAAAATATCTAATTGACAACTATAAGACAATTGGACCAACAACAGCAGAATCCACAATATTTTCAAGTACTCCTGGAATATATCCCAAGATAGCCCATATTCTGAGCCATAAGTCTAGCCTCATACAGAATGTGTATTTTTAACCACAGTGGAACCAAAGTACAAACCAATAACAGAAAAATAATAGGATAATCTATAAACACTTGTGTCTTAGTTGTTTAGTGTTGTTATAAAGGAATACCTGAGGCTGAGTAATTTATAAAGAAACAAGATTTATTTGTCTTGTGATTCTGCTGGCTGTCCATGAAATATGGTGCCGGCATCTGCTTTGGATGAGGGCTTTAGGCTGCTTCCACTCTTGGTGGAGGCAAAGAGGAGCCCGGATGTATAGAGATCAAATGGCGAAAGTGGAAGCAAGTGAAACGGGGGGAGGTTCCAAGCTGTTTTTCAGAATCAGCTCTCACAGAAACTAACAGAGCTACAGCTCTGTCGTTACCATGACACCAAGCCATTCATGAGGAGCCTACCCCATGACCCAAATACCTTCCATTAGGTACCATCTTCAACATTGCAAATCAGATTTCGACAGCAGGTTTGAGGGGACAAACACCCAAGCTATAACAACTTGGAAACTAGAAATAAACTTCTAGGTAATCCATAAGCCAATAAAGAAGTCCTAAGATAATTTTTAAAAATTACATTGAACTAAATAATAAAAATACACATAGCAAGATGTCTGAGACCCAACTACAAATTTTGAGAAGGAAATATATAATTACTAAATGCTCACTCACTAGAAAAGATAAAAAATTCAAATAAATAATCAAAGCTATCATCTCATGTCTCTTCCAAAAAAGAAAAGCAAAATAAACACAAAACACCCAGAAGAATGGAAATAAATATAATAGCAAAAATCAGCCAGGTGTGGTGGCATGTGCCTGTAGTCCTAGCTACTCCAGAGACTGAGACAGGAGGATCATTTGAGTCCAGGAGTTCAAGGTTGTAGTGCACTATAATTGTGCCTGTGAAAGCCACTCCACTCCACCCTGGGAAACATAGCAAGAACCCATCTTAAAATAATCATATTCATAATCATAATAAAGAATTGCAAATTTATGTATTCTATTACATTTCTTTCAAAAAAGAAATCAATGAAATTGAAAGCAGAAAAAGAGGAGAGAAAAAGGATGAAACAAAGTTCCTTTGATTTCTTAAAGAGATTGATGAAATTTACAAAACTCTATAGCAAGAATGACAAAAAAAAGTAAGACAAAAACTACTAACATTGAGAATAAGACATAAGCTATCACTATAGACCTGGGAGACATAAAAAAAAAGTATTAAAAAATATTGTGAATAACTCTATGCTCATAAATTTGACAACTTACATGACTGGAGTAATTCTTTAAATAATCCATCACAATTCATCCAATAAAAATATATAATTTGAATATTTCTTTAAATATTAAGGTAAATGAATTCATAATTTAACAAAACCCCAAAATCAAAATCTATTTCTATTTTTATTACATATAATTATACTGGATAATTTTGCTAAACATTTAAAGAAGAATTAGCACCAATTCCACACAATCTCTTCTGGAAAATAGAAGAGGCAAGAACTCTTTCCAGTTTATCTTATTAATCTAGTGTTACCCTAATATAAAAACAATAACAAGACAGTATACAATTTCATAAATTATTTTATAGTTACAGGAATCAAGATTGTGTGACATAGGCAGAGAAAGGGACATGTAGATCAATGGAACAGAATAGACAGCCCAGAAACAGACTAACATAAATATGCCTAACTAATTTTTGAAAGAGATTCAAAAGCAGTCAGTGGAGGAAGCACAGCCTTCGCGAAAAAATGCACTGGAACAAATGAACATCGGAAGACACAAAACTACTTGTCTCACACTTTACACAAAAATTGACTCAAAAATGATCACAGAATGGTATGCAAAATGTTAAATTGTAAAACAATTAGTAAAGTATAGGATAAGAGGCTGGGCACAGTGGCTTATAGAGTTATTTGTTTCTTGTAAATTTGTTTAAGTTTCTTAAAGATGCTGGATATGATACCATTGTCGAATGCATAGTTTGCATTTCTTTTTCTCATTTGGTAGGTTGTCTGCTTACTCTGTTGATAGTTTCTTTTGCTGTGCAGAAGCTTTTTAGGTTGATTACATTCCATTTGTCTTCCGGCATCTTTGTCATGAAATTTTTGCCTGTGCCTATGTCCTGAATGGTATTGCCTAGGCTTTCTTCTAGGGTATTTATAGCTTTGAGTTTTACATTTAAATCTTTAGTATATCTTGAATTGACTTTTGTGGATAGTGTAAGGAAGAGGTCCAGTTTCATTCTTCTGCATATGACTAGCCAGTTATCCCAGCACCATTTATTCAACAGGGAATCCTTTCCCCATTGCTTGTTTTTGTCAGGTTTGTTGAAGATCAGATAGTTGTAGGAGTGCAGCCTTATTTCTGGGTTCTCTATTCTGTTCCATTGGTCTATATGTCTATTCATGTATCAGTACCATGCTGTTTTGATTACTGTAGGATTGTAGAGGAGATACTACAAAATAAAGGGGTTAAGCAGCTCATAAGCATCAGCAAGGTGGAAACTATTACTTTGGCTTGCCACACTCTCATTGTTCAGCTGGTAAGACATTGGGTTCAAATAGATATTGGTAATAATTACAGAAATAGTAACATATTGGTGCTCATTTCCTTAGCCCCAATTCCCAGAAGGTGGCTCAATGAGTGTCAAGTGTTGACTGCATATACAGTAGAAATATTTAAAGAAGAGGAAATCAGAAACAGAGAAACTGGTCTCTTACCAGGGTTGCTGGCAAACATGGGAATTTCCCTCTCTGGAGAAAGACATTATGATTCTCTGAGACCCTGAGTTGTAAGCAAATCTCCCCAAGGAGGGACAAGTGGTTTTTCTATCTTTATTGCCCTGGGATGTATCAGGTGCAGAGTATGTCAGAGTACTGCCTAGGAATGTAAATTAATTTTCTCCAGAGGGAGTTATTTATCCATTTTTACAGGGATGTCTGCTTATACAAACATTCCTGAAAAGATAGTCATGGAGCAAATGAGTTGTTAATGCTTAGAGGTGTAGAAAGTGAGAGATTCATGGAGAATTGTCTCCCAACAATAAATGACCTCTACTTTTAAAACACAAATGTCAGTTTCATTACAGACAAAGAAAAATCTAAGAGAAAAACAGCACTACCCTCAGAAAACTACCCATTATATCACACAAAAAGGCAGATTCTGCTCATTTCCTGCTTTTGCTATCAATAGTGCAGCAAAAAATTACAGTACAATGACTTCTGCCTCTTCTCAGAAGCTGGATTCCCAAACAGAAATAGCAATGTCAAAGAAGAATTGCAATATGAAACTGACTGCATAAAATCAAATAAATGGGGAAAGTAACATCATGAAAAAAGCCAATGAACTCAATTATTGAAAACACTGAAACCTGATTAAATAGAATGGAGTAATCATGATAATTTTTAAAATTAAATATAATGCTTAAATTCAAAATTAGAAAACAGGATATCACATAATTAAGGCAAGAGCATGGTTGACTTCCATTGGGTTATGGATATCAACTAAATTAAGAGCTTGGGAATGTAGGTCACTCTTTGAAGCAAATGAATGAACAAACAGATAATTACACATACAATACAGATGAGCAGAGGATGAAAGCTGTTACACAGACTTCTTGAATAAATCATTATGATGATTTTTCAACAAACTCATTACAATGATAAGTGAATATAAGAATCAGATGATATGAAAAAATTAAATAATAAAGATAGATTAAGAAGTTCTAACTGCTATATAATAGGAGTCACATTATGGAAGAGAATAGAGAGATAATTTTAAAATAACTACTAACAGAAAATTCCCCAGACCTGAGGAAATGACCTGTCAAATGGTGAGCAGAAATGAGTAAAGGTTTCACACCTAGTGCTATATTAATAAAATTTCAGGACATTAATAATAAAGACAACATCTTAAAATATATTTAAAAAAAATAGAAAGGGAGGGATACAATCTTCAAAGAGGTACAAAATTCAAATGATTGCTAGGCACTTCATAGGAAAATGAAGAAACATTTTCAAACCTCTTTTAAAAGCCAGTGTGCTTAGCAATTTCAGTTTTAATATTGTATAAGAAAATTCTAAAATGTCTTCATAACATAGCATATCAATGAAGCTACTACATTATAAGTAGGTATTGAATAAGAGCATAGTCTTCAGAGACAGATGACATGGGTTGAAATCCTGGCTCAACTGCTTGCTCTCTAAGCTCTGTTGTGGTAGTTACCAACCTTTGCCTCAGTTTTCTCATCTACAAAACTAGGTAAATAATGGCAATTATTTGTTTGGCTTTTGTGAGAACATGATGAATTCATAAATGAAGATGAATAGAATGACTATTCATGGTTCATAGTCATTGTTTAACAAATGGCAGAGATTTCGTTTATTTTAGTAAGCAAAATCTTATGGCTAGATCTATTACATATTTGTTTTTCATCTGACTCTTTCAATAAACTCTTTCAACAATATCAGTTGTATTTGAAAGATTAAAAATTTGTGCAAGTGTTCCTGTTTTAAAAATAGATTCCATGGATGGATCTGAAAGCCGTTATCCTCAGCAAACTAACGCAGGAACAGAAAACTAAACACCACATGTTCTCACTTATAAGTGGGAGCTGAGCAACACAAACACATGGACACATGAAGGCGAACAAAACACACTGGGGCCTGTCAGGAGGAGAGGGGTAGGCAGAGCATCAGGAAGAATAGCTAATGGACACTGGGCTTAATACGTAGATGATGAGTTGATCTGTGCAGCAAACCACCATAACACAAATTTACCCATGTAACAAACCTGCACATCCTGCGCATGTACCCTGGAACTTAAAATAAAAGTTGAAAAAAATTAGATTCAATATTTTTGTTGATGTATCAGGATCATTGAGATTATTAAAATATCAAGAAATACAAGTGATATCAGGATAAATGTTGGAGTAAGAATCTCTGAAAATCCTCTCTTCCATAAAAGCAATGAAGAAAACGGCAAAAATTTCAAAAAAAAAAATTTCTCAGAAGTGTGGAAATTAATCCAAAGTTTGCAACAATCAGGGGGCGCACTTATTTAAAAAACAGCTGAATATTTGAATATTTATAAGAGCAATGAACTTCACTGAACTTTAACTTGCACTTTTACCATCCCCCTCTCACCAGCTTTATAGAAGCATGGAAAATCAATGCTTACACAGTAAATTTACCTAGTAAATATCAGCAGTCTAGCAGCCAGTAAAGGGGGCCGAATGGTGTTGGAGCTTCTCCCAAAGCCTTTCAGACCACCTATTATGAATGAGCTTTTCCAGGGGCCTTTGGTAAAAACACTCAATGCAGTTGTTCAACATAGCAGATGGCTGAGGCAGCAGTGACAGGTGGGGCACAAACAAGGTGAACAAAACAGTTAAATGGAAAAGCTAGAGTATAGATAGCTATAGAAGACATCGAAAAGCCGATGTATTTCTGGGAACCAAGAAGACTACGCACATGCGTGTACTGTACACATGTCCAGGAAATATACACACACCTCATTTTACTGTGCCTCACATTGTTGCACTTCACAGATTCTGTATTTTTTAAATTAGAGATTTGTGGCAACCCTTTATTGACCAAATCTATGAATACCATTATTTCAACAGCATACACTCACATTGTGTCTCTGTGTTACATTTTGGAAATTATCATAATATTTCAAAATTTTCACCATTATTATTATATCTGTTGTGGGAATTTGTGTTCAGGGATCTTTGACATTTCTATTGTAATTGTTTAAGGACACCACAAATCAGGCCCATACAAGATGACTAACTTAATTAACAAATGTGTGTTCTGATTGCTCCACCATTCTCTCACCTCCCTCTTCTTAGGTCTGCCTACTCCCTGAGACATAACTATACTGAAATTAGCCCAGTTAATAACCCTACAGTGACCTCTAATTGCTCAAGTGAAAGGAAGAGTCACATGTTTCTCACTTTAAATCAAAAGCCAGAAATGATTAAGCTTAGTGAAGCAGGCATGTCAAAACCAAAGGCAGGTCGAAGGCTAGGCCTCTGGGACCAAAGAGTCAACTTGTGAATGTCAAGGAAAAGTTCTCAAAGGAAAGTAAAGGTGCTACTTCAGTGAATACACCAATGATAAAAAAATAAAACAGACTTATTGCTGATATGGAGAAAGCTTTACTAATCTCCATTGAAGATTAAACCAGCCACAATGTTCACTGAAGCCAAAGCCTAATCCAGAGCAAGGCCCTAACTCTCTCTCCAATTCTATGAAGGTTAAGAAAGGTGAGGAAGCTTCAGGAGAAAAGTTTGAAGCTGTCAGAGGTTGGTTCATAAGGCTTAAGGAAATAAGCTGTCTCTGTAACAGAATTGCAAAGTGAAGACACTAAGTGCTGTTGTAAAAGCTGCAGCAATTTATCCAGAAGATCTAGCTAAGGTGATTGGTGAAGCTGGCTACAATAAACAGCAGTTGTTTAATGTAGATGAAACAGCCTTCTATTAGAAGATGCCATCTAAAACTTTCCAGATGGAGAAGGCAATGTGGAAAGACTGACTCTCTTATTAGTGGCTAACACAGCTGGTGATTTTAAGTTGAAGCCAGTGCTCATTTATCCTTCAAAATCCTAAGGCCCTTAAGAATTATGCTAACTTGACTCTGCCTGTGCTCTATGAATGAAACAACAAAGCCCATATTTACACATATTTTACAGCACATATTTTTAGAGCATGGTTTACTGAGTATTTTAATTTTATATTATTATAATATATTTTATAATTATAATTATTATAATATATTATATTAAAATATAATATATTATTATATTATATTTTATATTTTAGTTTCATTGTTGAGACCTACTGCTCAGAAAAATAGACTTCTTTTAAAATATTATGGCTCATTGGCAATGCTCCTGGTCCCTGAAGAGTGATGATGATGTATAAAAAGATTAATGTATAGAAATATGTTGCATAAAAACATAAACACCTGCTAATATAACACACATTCTGCAGTCCATAGATCAAGGAGTAGATTCAACTTTCAAGTCTTATTATTTAAGAAATACAATTTATAAGGCTGTAGATGCCACAGGTTATGATACCTCTGATTAATCTGGGTAAATTAAATTGAAAGCCTTCTGGAAAGGAATGATCATTCTAGATTCCACTAAGAACATTCATAATTTGGCTTGGCACGGTGGCTCATGCCTATAATCACAGCACTTTGGGAGGCTGAGGTGGGTGGATCACCCAAGGCCAGAAGTTCAATACAGGCCTGGCCAACCTGGTGAACCCCATCTCTACTAAAATACAAAAAATGAACCAAGTACGGTGGTATACACCTGTAGTCCCAGCTGTCAGGAGGCTGAAGCACTCCTTACCCTCACTATCTGCCTAAATAATATCTTTTCAAATTCTATATAACTTCTCCCTCAGGAGTGGTAATCCTAACTGCTGTTAGGGGATGTTGGACTATGACTCTTTCTGGCCACTTCCTGCTGAAAAGGGGAGTCATATGTGGAACAGCAACTAGGCTTCCTCCTGGGGTAGATCTAAGGGTCCTCAGAAGAAAGGCATGTCCATGCGTGGTTCTGTCTGTAATACCATTTGGAGTTTGATTGCTGTCAGCCATTCTGATGGGTTGTAATACTGGTTTACTTCCACCAGATTCTGTTGAAATGTGTATATAAAAGAAACATTGAACCAGAATCACTTGAACCCAGGAGTTGGAGTTTGTAGTGAGCTGAGATTGCACCACTGCACTCCAGCCTAGGAAACAGAGTGAAACATTGTCTCAATAAAAAAAAAATAGAAAAATAGAATAAAAACAATAAAGAGCATTCATAATTCATAGGAGGAGGTTAAAATATCAATGTTAAAAGACCCTTGTAAGAAGTTGATTTTAACCTTCATGGATGACTTTGAGTAGTTCAAGACTTCAGGAGAAAAAGTAAATCCAGATGAAGTAGAAATAGCAAGGCAAATATAATTAGAAGTTCAGCTTGAAGATGTGGCTGAATTATTGCAATCTCATGATAGAACTTAAATGGATGGGGAGTTGCTTCATATAGATGAGCAAAGAAAGTGATTTCTGGAGATAGGAAACTACTTCTGGTAAAGATGCTGTAAACATTGCTGAAATGACAACAAAGGATTTACAATATTACATAAACTTAGTTGATTAAGCAGTGGCAATGTTTGAGAGGATTGACTCCAATTTTGAAAGAAATTCTACTGTGGGTAAAATGATATAAAGCAGCTTTGCATAATACAGAAAAATCTTTCATGAAAGAAAGAGTCAATCTAAGAGGCAAACTTCATTGTCTTATTTTAAGAAATTGTGCCAGCCACCCCAACCTTTAGCAGCCACCACCTTGATCAGTCAGCAGCCATCAACACTGAGGCAACACCCTCCACTATCAGAAAGATTATGACTCACTGAAGGTTTAGATGATCATTAGCATTTTGGAGCAATAGTCTTATTTAAAGTATGTATGTTTTTTAGATGTAATGTTATTGCATACTTAATAGACTACAGTATAGTGTAAATATTACTTTTATATGCACCAGGAAACCAAAAATTATGTGTACTTCACTTTATTAAGATACTCTCTTTATTACAGTGGTCTTGAATTTAACCTGCAACATCTGTGAGGCATGTGTGTACCTGAGAAGGCCCTGATCTCTCATCTCTGATTGATTTTTAGACTGCACAAACATTAAGTGAAGGCTAAGAAGAGAAGTAAACTGCCTGTCTACATATTGAAAGCATGTCATAATACACACCTAAAACCCATCTCAAATCTGGGAGACTTATTTGTCCAATGCATTTTTGAAAAATCTCTCTTTAATTATTAGATGATCACATTAGCGAAATCGAGTAGAGACTTTAGTGAGTACACATGACAAAGCATACAGACATTTAAAAAGTAGTTCAGGGAATTCAACCAACATGTAGCAGCAGCAAAAGAAAAAACAATAATAGTAATGAGAAGAAACCTAGAGAGTGGGAGAATCTGGTTTCCACAGTTATCACACTGTTGTAAAATTTTTAATTCTCAAAAAAAATGATGAGACATATAAAGAAAAAAAGAATGTATGGTCAATATGTGGGGGGGGGGGGAGGGTGGAAATGTCAATAGAAACTTTCCCTAAAGAAGTATAGATATTGGACTTCCAAGACAAGTATTTTATTTTGTTTTGTTTTTGAGACAGGGTCTTGCTATGTTGCCCAGGCTAATGTTGAACTCCTGGGATCAAGCAATCCTGCTGTGACCTCACGAGTAGGCGTGAACACAGGCACATGTCACCATGGCCCTGCTTACAAGAAAATTATTTTAAATCAACAGTTATAAATGCATCAAAGAAATAAAGGAAAGTATGTCTGAAGATCAAAAGGAAAGTAGAAGTATGATGCCCCACCAAATAGAACATATAAAAATATAGAAGTCATTAAAAACATCCAGTGGAGCTTGCAGTGAGCCGAGATTGCGCCACTGCAGTCCGCAGTCCGGCCTGGGCGACAGAGAGAGACTCCGTCTCAAAAAAAAAAAAAAAAAAAAAAAACATCCAAATAGAAATACTGTAGTTGACTCATCTAATAAATAAAATAAAATATTTATTAGAGAGGCTCATTAGCAGATTTGGGCTAGTAGAAGAAAGAATCAGTGAACTTGTGGAAATCAGAACAGTTGAAATTATACACTTTGAACAACACAAAAGAAAAAGAAAGAGAAAAATTAAATACTGCCTCAGCAATCTGTAGGGTACCAACAAGCATAAAAACACACACATAGGGATTAGACAACTTAGGGAGAGGCTGAAGTTTTTGAAGTTTTTATTTGCTTCAGTGCACTTAGACCAGGGTTGTCCAATCTTGGCTTCCCTAAGCCACACTAGAAGAATAAGAATTGTCTTGGGTCACATGTAAAATACACTAACACTAACAATAGCTGATGAGCTAACAACAACAACGAGAACAACAACAACAACAAAACTCATGATGTTTTAAGAAAGTTTATGATTTTGTGTTGGGCTGCACTCAAAGCCATCCTGAGGTGCATACAGCCCACATGCCATGGGTTGACAAGCTTGACTTAGAAAATTGTTAAAATAAAGCTGGATTTTAGTAAAAATGCTACTGATGTAGGATTTTTCTTCTCCATCATTTTGCAAGCCGGGGACCTCTGGCCAGCAATGCCCAGGCCCCAGGCCATGCTGGTGTGCCCCAGCTCACCTGTGTTATAGACTGTACCCACGTTCAGTGGTTTCTGAGCTCTTGTACTGCACCCAAGAAGAATGAGGATACATTGGACATTGAAGGGTGAGGAGGGCAGAGAAGAACTTTATTGAGTGATGAAACAGCTTTCAGCAGAGAGGGGATGTGGGGGTTGTCCCCCTACCAGAAGGCTGAAAAGTCCCCCATGTGGCTGGGTCCAGGTCTTTTATGGACTCAGAATGGGGAGTGCATGCTGATTGGTTTGTGAGTATGCAAAAAAGTTTAAAGTGAAGACACCACTAAAAGGTGGGCACAACAGTGTAGAAAACCATTTAGGAAAGGGTAGGTATATATAAAGTTGGTGAAGGGTGGGGATTAAGCAGAGGAAAGCCCACCAAATGGGAAGACAAGTTCACAGTCTGCCAAGGATTTAACTTATAGTTTGGCTGTCATGTTTAAATTTCTTTGATCTGGAGGTGGGGTTTCACCAGGGACCCACCCCTATCTGCCTAGGCATTTGTCTGCCTCCTGCCACTCTTGCTATCTGTATCAACAAATAGTGCCAAAACCACAGTTTAATGACACATAAACAGTTTAGTACGAATTAATGAAAATCCAATGTTCCTTGTAGGCAGGATTGCTACAAGAAGTGACTCAGAGATACTGGCACCTTCCATTATAACTCAACTATCTTTGTTGAAGACCAACAATGTCTCCATAAAAAAGAATAAAGAGAAATATTGCATATGGGAGATTTTTTTGTGTGACAGTGAAGTGGCATTTTTGTCTGGGGCAAATACCCAGGGTTTATTGTCTCATGCCATGATGATTAAGGACACGGACACATGTGGGTGGGTTAAGGACCAAAAAGATTAATAGGCAGAAGAAAGGAGAGAGGTGAGCAGCTCTCTCTCTCTGGCAAGAGAGAGCCATCTGAAAGGAAAAAGTTGGCCTGTGGTGGACCATGGCGTATTTTATAGCCAGGCTTTAGGAGGTGGTGTCTGATTTACATAAGGCCCACAGATTGGTTTGACGAGGTGTGATATTTACATAGTACGCAGGTAAGGCGGGTTGCCCCATCCTAATCTTATTATGCAAAGAGGCTTTCCACTTGGCCAGCACCATCTTGTCTGCTCCTTACTGTACATGTGGCTAGCAAAGAGAAAGGAGGGGAAGTCACCATGTTGGGTGTACCTGGAGCTTTTCGTATAGCTGTCGGCATTCATCTATGCAAGCTTCCAGCTTCCTTACCTATGCTTGCAGCTTGACTTTCCAGGCTGCTTTCTGTTAGAAAAGAAATGGTTTGGGGCCTCCTTTTTATGAAAATAAAAGCCTTACTGAGGACTTCCTTACCCTCACTATCTGCCTAAATAATTTCTTTTTAAATTCTATATAACTTCTCCCTCAGGAGTGGTAATCCTAACTGCTGTTAGGGGATGTTGGACTATGACTCTTTCTGGCCACTTCCTGCTGAAAAGGGGAGTCATATGTGGAACAGCAGCTAGGCGTCCTCCTGGGGTAGATCTAAGGGTCCTCAGAAGAAAGGCATGTCCATGCATGGTTCTGTCTGCAGTACCATTTGGAGTTTGATTGCTGTCAGCCATTCTGATGGGTTGTAATACTGGTTTGCCTCCACCAGATTCTGTTGAAATGTGTATATAAAAGAAACATTGTTTTTAGGATAAGTGACATTGGATTGGGTGGCTAGACTAACTTTAGTGTTAATCTTGGCTAAATTTTTCCTGCAATTATTAATCCTTTCATGACTTTCACAGACCATCTATGACATGCTTAAACTTTCTGACTTGTCCTATACATCACTATTTTTAAACAACCATTTAATTTTTTTAGGACAAGAATTTACCATAGAAGATCCTTTCTTACATACAATTTCTTTTCTTTATAACCTTCCTTGCATAGCTGAGAAGCAACATATTATCAAACCCAATAAAAAGTCTTAGCAGACTCAGTGATAGTAAAATTTTCACGCTTCCTTTTTATTGGTAATTATTATCCCTGCTAAAAGAATAATAATTAAGCAAAATACTACAGCAATGGAAACTCTGCCCAATATTTCAGTTAGAAGGGGCTACCATGCATAGCTTTACTGCAAATCATAGAGTATAGCAATTCTTGCAAAAGTGACATAATAGATTATTTTCATCTAAAATTTTACTTGCCAAGATATAGAATTTTCATTTGGAGGTCTATGAAGTTCCTTGGTTTTACTTTCCCAAACAATGAAACCTCCAAGTTATGGGCACCATACTCACTTTCATTACCTCACAGCATTTGCAGGATAATTGCCCAGAACTAGCATATTGATTCAGATTTTTACTTTACCTATCCCAGTTTGTTTCTTCTGAGCTGCAGGAGATCATTACTTGATTCACAGGAATCAGCAATGTCAGTCTAAAATGAAGGCAAAAAAATTTAAAAACAACAAATGAGACTAGAATTTAGTGACAAATATATAATAAGCTTTGGAGCACATTTATTTTTCCAGTCCTCATTTTTGGTAAAAACAAGTTATGATAGGACTCTGTTGTTTGTAGAATAAACTTTAGTTTTACACTTGGCCTGATTATTTGCATAAAGTGCAGCAAGAATAATTATTTCTACATAGGCCTTTTGGATTGGCTTTGATGGAACTCTGTTTCACATGGAATTTTATATAAGAATTTTTAAAGCCGAGCCAAGCCATGGGTTTATATCCTCAAATACCTGTGAGTTGTTTGATCCTTTTCTCTTAAGTTCCCAAAATAAACTTGGAGCTCCTGGACCTGTTAGAAAGTGATATTCTTTACTGAACACAGGTCAGGAACCCTGTAAGGGGACTGTGTAGATAAGGTATGAGGCCAGTCTTCCCCAAGGGGCTTTTATTGGCTCTGCAAGTCAAGCTTTATTCTTTAAAGGGAAACATACTCTTTGAGTCAAGATCTTGGTAAAACAACAAGTTTTTTTTCCAGTTACATCCTTCTGCAAAAGAAAAATAGATTCTTATTACACTGATGCAAATAACTATATTGCCACATGTTAAGAATACTCACAGTTTCCAAATTCTAGAGGAACCTGGCATAGAGAAACAAAGATGCTCCAAACTTTGTTCACAGGAGTATACCCTACTCAATTATTAAAGACCTAAATAGTTCAAAGTAGTTTCCTTGACTCTGAAAAACAAAACAAGGATCAGCAATATTTCAAGCAAGTCAAGAAGGTTGTTTAGCTGTCTGATTTTAGTCAAAACTCTCGTTTTGCTTGATATTTATGAACACTTTAGCTCTTCATGAGTCTTGTACATTTTTTTCTATTACAAAGTGACAATCATCTAAACTATTAGAACCTTGCATTTGAGAACACAAGTTAAGTTTCTATAGCTTGATTATAAACCATTATTTGAGAAAGAACAAAGCAAGACAACAATTGTCTGTGAATGACAAAATTTCTAGGGTAGTTACAATTAAAAACATGACTGATAAAGAAGTTTTGTTATCTTTGTGGTTTACAATAACTTCACATAACAACCTTAATTATGACAGATAGCATATACCCAGGCATTAGAATTTTAGAAATACCATACAATTTTGGAACATGTTAGTATTATTTACCAAAATATAAATTAAAGAAGATTGAACATCATTTTGACAATCCCACATGACTAAACATGTCAAATAATCCTGTGGATGTTTCAAGGGCCATCTGAACCCTCCAGAAAGCCAGGCATTAGGAAAGACAATTTTGAAACTTGAAGTTCGATTTTGAGAAGTCTGTTAAATGTTAGCAGTTTAAAATACTTGATGTTATGAAATAGAATTCCAGATTACCATAAATTATTTATTTTGCCAAAACGATGACCCAAAAGTCAAAAACTCTTTATTAGTCTTTACTAGTACATGAAAATTCTGCTCAAAGAGAAATTTTACCCTTGCATTAGTTTATTAATGTTAACCCCAAGTTTTTTAATGAAACCTTATAGACAATTCCATTCAATTTTAACCAATTTGACCATGAGGTGAAATCTTTACAAACCTTTTATAACTGTTTTGTTGAAGAGCAGGTTTGCATTTTAAGACAATCTTGTTGTGCTTTTATTTCAAAGCTCTATTCATGAAAAGACCATATAATACTCTTTTGAATTTAGTTAATGTTTACACATGGGATTTTTGCCAGATTAATTTTTACAATCTTTATATAACTTGCTTAAACCTTCAGCTTTCTTATCTAATTTAAGACAATAATTTATGACTAGGCACAATTTTACATTTCCATGCCTTCCCATAATCTTTTACTAGAAAATACATTCCACTGATTTTACACACTTTGCATGTAAATTTATTTTTAGTAGTTTAAATTACATGTTATGATGGTAACTTTTAGCAATTTTTAACTTCAGTGTGAAACCTGGTGCATTGTTTTGATTATGTACTAGGCACAAAGTCTAACTTTTTTCAGCATAGTGGTTAATTTCATAAGTCCTGAGGCCTTACCAAGTTGTGAAACAGGCACTTTACAACCTTGACACCCTAAGCAAACCTAGTATCTTACTTAAATGATATCACCTGTTTACATTTTGAAGACACTTGTATTTTACCAGTAATCCTTAAGACTATTTTTATGTCTTAAAGAGTAAAGTGATGTGAACTAAAAGGCATTACAGCTTTTATTCTTTTCTTTAAAAATATTTTATTTAAGAGCTTATTTTTCTTTATGCCAAGAATTAGAACTCTTTTTTAGACATTACACACAACACACATATATACACATACAGGCAAAAGATTCAGCAGTTGCAAGATTTTTTATTTGTCAGTTTCTTAATTGGATTACTGACTTCAGGGTGGAGTCCTTGGGGGAAGAGAGCCAGGAAAGCATGCATTTTTAGGGCCTAATAAGCAGGCACAACTGAAGACAAAGACAGATCCCCAAAATTAAGGGTGCCATTTTATACTGGATCTTGGATCCCTCAAAGGAGGAAGATAGTATAGGAGAAGACAGTGGAGTGCTTCTACCATACATTTGATTTCAAAGAAAACCAAAGCCAATCAGACCATTTTATAACCGGCCCATCCCCCGTGGGAGTCTCCTCATCTCTTAATGGGTGGTGAGGATGTTTTCGTATCTTTCAGGTGGCCAATAGCATGCTTCTCTGATTCTAATGTGCAAAGGGTTAAGTATCCCTCCAAAACCACTATTAGCCATCCTTCAAAGTATATTTCCTACATGGTTATTACACACAAAAGCTCTCTCCCAATGCAAAGTCATTTGATACACCCAAAACTCAATGCTGTCAGAGAACACAATGCAAAACAGAATGGGGCCTTTGATTTTGAGAGACATGTATCCACTTTTAATTCTTGGGATTTCATGAGGAAAATGGAGATTTTTTTCTCAAAACGGGGTCTGTGGCACCTCCTTTTTTTTCCCAAGGAGTTCTAGGCTACCAGAAGTTATCTTAGGGACTCTCTTGTGTGCGTTAGGAGTGGCAAGACAAAAAAATGGACAAAAATGGACTTCAGTCGACTGAAAAGAAAAGAGAAAAAGATAACCTTTTTCCAGAAAAACAAGATCCAAGAAGAAAAAATAAATCCTTTTAAAAATACCTATAACTTGGATATACATCTTTAATTAAGCTGAGCACTCTTTAAAAAAATATTTTTAATCCCTTGTTACTTGACTTTAGCCACATCGAGCAGTTAAGATTTTTGGCTTTTGAACTTTACAAAAAGTAAACTCACAGGTGAAACCAACAAGCCTTAACTAGGTCATGACTTAGCCACCAGTGTAGGAGGTATTTTTCAAAGGGGTTGTAAGCAGCTTTTGAAAATACCATTTCAAAACCATGACTGAAACAGTGAAAGACATCCAACCCAAACAACTACATCTTGCTTCCAGTCCCCAAGCTGTCCCTGCCCAGCCCTGGGCATAGGCTGAACAAACTCTGAGAGAAGCCTGGTTTACAGTTTATAGTCCAAAACAGAGATGATAATGGCCCCTTCTAAAGATGGTCCCTCTTGCCCAGGGACCAGACCAAGGAACTAGGCACAAGATTAGAAATCATAGCTTAGGAATCACACAGCTGGAGGCTACAAGATTTTGACCCTCCCTAAACTGCCCTCAAGATCAGTGCTTAAGATGTTTTGTAAATCCTGCCCTTGGTGGATCAGCTGACCCCATCCAGATCAATAAACTGGCTTATCTGATTTTGTGGCCCCCACCCATGAACTAACTTAGCACAAGAAGACAGCCACCATTGTAAAATGGCACAGACTAAAAGACTGTATGGCCACATGGTTACAGGTCATGTTCCCAAAAACATGAAACAAGATGGAGGCCTGTAGTCAAGTTTATCACTGAACACTTTGTTGAGCTGGCTTGAATAGCAGGCTTATGGGGTCCTGGGCCTGCATTCTAACCTAAGTTACCTTCCCCCATTTTTTTTTAAAGAACCATAAAGAAAGACAAATTACACCAGATAGGCTATAGCTTAAGACCAATCTCACAAATCATTTTCCATTAATTAAAACTTTACAGAGACTATAGATAATAATTCTTATTATCCTTTTTACCAGTTTGCACAGAGAGAGAAGCCAAAAGCTCAACTGGTTAAAAAAAAAAAAAACAAAAAAAAAAACAACTTTTACTCTTTTGCCAGCATGTGAGGCTTCTGGGTTCCTTTCCCCCAAGCTCAACTCTAAGCCAAGCATTTTAAGTCTTGGGGAAATTAACTTCTCCCAGGTTGGAATAACATTATAAAAGAAGAGATAGAAGCCATTTTAAACTGTGAAAGAAGGAAGTAAAAATACCATAGAAAAATCTGGGGTTTGGGTGGTAGAACTGGAGCTGATGATGTAGATGAGGGGCAGGAAGGGCCAGGACATCTGGAAGTTGCATTTGAGGGTTTCAATTTAGGGTTATCAACAGTTTCTACCTCTTTTTCTATTAGAAATGATGATTTTTCTATTTCTTCACTTTCCTTATTTTCTCTTCCTTTTTGACCTACTATAGGAGACATATTGCTCATCTCTGAAATTCCCTGCTGCCTACAGAGTTGCCTGTTTTTCAGCCACAGTAAGGATTTGGCTTAGGAATGGCATAACATTCCTTCATGAGAGGTCACACACCTAAGTTAAATTTTGAAAAGCTTCTATATACCTATCAGCATTGTCAGAAAATTGGCCTATGTCTCCCTTTATTTGCCTAAGGTCCTGTAATGAGAAGGGAACTTGAGGATTGCTGAATAAGGGGGATCCTCAGATTGTTCCCCTGGAAGTTGCTTCTCTAACTTTGGGAATCATTCTCTATAGGCCTGCCTGATAAGACTACTAGAAGAGCTGGGTTGATTTTTGCAATGCTTGCAAAGGTCTAGTAAGAAGGCCAGGACCTTGTGAAAAAGAGAATGAGCTGCTTTTTCTTCAAAGTCTCAGGGTCAAAGGAGTCCCTGTGCTTCAGGATGCACTCCAGAGGGGTGTAAGCTGAAGATGGTCTGTTACCTATTTAGAAAGATAAGCAAGAAAAAGGAGTCCCTTTAGTCTCCTTCCTTTTGGTATGTCCTAGGGGGGAAAGGAAGACAGTGGGAGTGTTCCCCCTACTGTTTTCTCTCCTTGGTTCCTGGGTCCCAGCACCTTGTTAAATGTGCTGCCCATGGTTATGGGCATGACTCTTCAAGCTATGGAACCAGAGAAACTATATGATGCTATGAGTCACGCATAACCATGCAGCAAGTTCTCCACTTGTGATTCTACTTTGACTTCCTAGATTTGTGTGCTCTATGTGCCTCCCTGAAAAATAGATCTTGGGAAAGACCATTTAATAGTTGCCTTTGGGCAAGGCTCCTTTAATAGGGGGAGGGTACTAGATTTAACTCTATTATCTTGCTATTGTGGCCTGTGCTAAGGTGTTTCCCCTTAGAGAATGTTTCTGGTTAACTTCTGGACTTAAAATCCCCTTACTAATTAAGTACTGTTTTAATTGGAGACAGAATAGGTGCCTTAAAGGAACATAGGGACCTAATGGTAGTTTTCCTGTTGAGGGACAGTATCAGAACTAAAATTTGGTTCCGGAAGACATTTTACTCCTAATTGTTGAAGGCAGAGTCTTGCCATTCACAGAAGGAGCATACAGCCTGATTTCTAGTATAGGGGCACAAAAAGGGAGAATTGAGAAGCTACAGTGTCACAGTAAAGGACTGACAATGTGCCTCATGGAGATGATTTTTATTCCATTAGGTGGTGATATTGACCTTGAAATGCCACGTGATTTCCAGACCAAGGGCAGAGAGTGATCTGGAAATGCCATGTGCCCTTCAGACCAAGGGCAGAGTAACCTTGACATGCCATATGCTCTCCAGACCAAGGGTGGAGAGTGAGATGCTCACTGTGGCGGCCAGGCCCTCTGTTCCTAGAAAATTACAACAGCATTCCCCTGAGCTATATCCCTGGTTACTATGGAATTTCCTGATCTTGCCTAATAAGATTACTTCCCTGAAGTATAAAACTCCCACAGCATTCCATACAGAGAAAGGATAGGCAGTTGTGGAAAAGACATGGCAGTTGTGGACAGGAAAGGAGCAAATTATGATAGGAACATTGCAGATCCTGTTGCCCACACCCCACTGGGCGGTCGAAGGCTGGGGTCAGTCCTGAAGCCTTTGGATAACACCAAGGGGTAGCCGCGGCCAGAAATCCTCAGTTGCTCCAGGACCTCTTCCAGCCCCACATGATGGCTAGGTCCTCCATGAAAGGAAACTGGTTCAAATATGGCCAATACGCCCAGCAACCTGTGGGTACTGGGGAATTCTCCCTGTTCTCCCCAGCAAGCCTGTCCCCCAAGTCTTGTAAGGCTGGCAGCAATGCTAATCGTTTTTAAATGGCTGACGGGGGCCCAGTATTTGGAATTTACTTTGCTTTTATTCCAAAATGGAGGCTGAGAGTCTCAAAATTAAAGGACAGATTTGAGATTCGCTCCCATACTTACCACTCCAATGATTATACCTTCCATTCTGGTTCTGATCCTGAGTGAGCCCACAAATAAAGTGACATTATTATCTGGGGTAAATACCTGGGGTTCTTCATCTCATGCCAAGAAGATTAAGGACACGGACACTTGTAGGTGTGTTAAGGACTAGAAAGTTTAATAGGCAGAAGAAAAGAGAGAGGTGAGCAGCTCTCTCTCTCGCTCTTTCAAGAGAGAGCCTTCTGAAAGGGAAGAGCCAACCTGCAGCGGACTGCAGCAGATTTCATAGGCAGGCATGAGGAAGTGGTGTCTGATTTACATAGGGCCCACAGATTGATTCGACCAGGTGTGACGTTTACATAGCACACAAAGAAGGCTATGTAATCCTTATTTGTGTAAAGGGTGGTGTAAACCCCACCCTAATCTTATTATACAAATGGACTTTTCACTTGTCCAGCACCATCTTGTCTGCTCTTTACTGTACACTTCACGGGCAAAGAGAAAGGAGGGAGAAATCACCATGTTGGGTGTACCTGGCTTTTAGTATAGCTGCCAGCATTCATCTATGCAAGCTTCCGGCTTGGTTATGTATGCTTAAAGCTTGACTTTTCAGGCTGCATTCTGTTAGAAAAGAAATGGTTTGGGGGCTGCTTTTTATTAAAATAAAAGCCTTACTAAGCACTCCCTTACCCTCACTATCTGCCTAAATAATTTATCTTTAACTCCTATATAAACAGTTTACAAAATGGCTTACATTACATGTTAAAATTATTTTCCACATGATCCATCAGCTCAACATGTTATTTGGACCTATCTAGATGAGAAAGACTAAGAAATGTCATTTTTAAATGTCTTACGTGATAAGAAAAAGAAAGAAAAAAACGTAGAAATTAGAAATGAAAATGTAAACTCTCTATTTCCATATGATGTTATTCTATAATGTAAACTAAAAATAAGACTATAAGTCCCCACTGACTGAACAGACCCCATTTTGCCCAAGGGGACCCCAGAAAAAATTTAAAAATGGATTCCCAGCCATGACAAGAAGGGAGATTGGACACGCATTGTTATATTCTCTCTTTTGAAGTTTAGGCACAACTGATGAGCATTAATATTGAAATATAGATCATCAAACTAACAAAATAAATTATTTATGACAATAAAATACCAAATTATAAATATGACCAAAGGCCACGTTAGACAAGGATTAAATCATACACCCCTTCAGGTCACTCTGACACAGTGAATTGGTTAACAGACCTCCTTACCTTAACTTAAAACATTTCTTTCTGCTGATTCCAAATTTTTAGACAAATCATTACACCTTTAACTGATTACACATTGAAGAATCTCAGAATATACCTATAACCTGTAAGCACTCGCCTCAAGATATCTCACCTTTTTGAGTCAAAGCAAGTTATACCTTCCATGTATTGATTTATGAATTTGCATGTAATTCTTGCCTTCTTAAAATGTATAAAACCATACTTCAATTCTACTGCCTCGGGTATACTTTCTCAGGCCCTCTTGAGACTTTGTTTCTCCAGGCCTTGGTTACTCCTATTGGCTCAGAATAAACCTCTTTGAAGTATTTTAAAGGTCTGTTTTTTTCAGTTAACAATAGTAACAATAGAAAAACCTAAAGAAAAAACCAGACCAAAAAAAAACTATTAGAGCTGATAAATATGTTCAGCAAGGTGGCAGGATATAAGATGAACATACATAAATGGAATGTATTTTTACAAGCTAGCAATGAATGATCTAAAATTGAAATTAAAAGAATTCCACTTACAGTACTATCAAAATATAGAATGCATAGGAATAGATTTAACCAAAGACATGCAAGACTTGTACATTGACAACTACAAAACATTCTTGAAAGAAACCAAGGAAATACTAAACAAATGAAAAGATATCACATAGATGGAAGGGAAGAAATTTTTCTATAGGTTTAATTTTATTTTTATCAAAAGCTCAACTTTCATCTTTTGCAGAAATAGACAAGCTAATCCTAAAATTAATATTGAAATAAATGCAAGGGACTTAGAAAGCCCAAAGCAGTATTGAAAAAGAACAAATTTGGAAGGCTCACACTTACAGATTTAAAAATTTACTGCACAGGTACAGTAAAAAAGACATACTGATAGATGCATAGATCAATAGAATACAATTGAAAATCCAAAAATTAACCCAAACATCTTTAATCAATTGCTTTCTGACAAGAGTGCTAAAGCCATTCAATGGGAAAAGAGTTGTCTTTTTAACAAATGGTGCTGGAACATTTGGATAGCCATATGCAAAAGAATACATTTTTTATTTTCACACCATATACAAAAATGAACTCAAAATTGATCAAAGAACTAGATGTATCAGTTAATACTATAAAACTTAAAGAACAACACAGGATTTCATATTTATGACTTTAGATATAATGCCAAAAGCACAAGAAAAAAATAGAATTCATCAACATTAAAAGATTGAACTGCAAACCACATCACCTAGAAAGTGAAAACACAGCCCACAGAATGGGAGACAGTATTTTTAGATTATATATCAAAAAAGAAATTTGTATCCATTATATATATACAATCTTTACAGCTCAATTTTTTTTAAAGTTTAGACAGAGGATCTGAACAGATATTTCTCCAAAAATATACAAATAGCCAATAAACATATGAAAAGATGCTCAGCATTGTTAGCCATAAGGAAAATCAAAACTGTAATGAGATATAACTAAACACCCACCAGGATGGCAAAAATAAAACAGATACGATGACAAGGATGTGGAAAATATGGAAACCTCCTTATTGTTGGTGAGAATGAAAAGTGGTGCAGCCACTTTGGAAAACAGTTTGGATATTTCTCAAAATATTAAACATAGAGTTATCATATGGCCAGCATTTCTACTCCAAGAGATATACTGAAGTGAAATAGTATATACAAGAACTTGTACAAAAGTTGGAGACTATTCATATCTTTATTAACTGATGAAGTGATAATTAAAATGATATATATTCATAAAAAGGAATATTTGCAATTAAAAGGA
This sequence comes from Homo sapiens, assembly GCF_000001405.40. Lineage (NCBI taxonomy): Eukaryota > Metazoa > Chordata > Mammalia > Primates > Hominidae > Homo > Homo sapiens. Next base: position 194,600,262 of record NC_000002.12, on the reverse strand, counting down.
ATGAAGTTCTGAGATATGTTACAATGGATGAATTGGAAAACGTTAAGTGAAAAAATAAAGGCCGCATATTTTATGATCCCATTTATATGAAATGCCCAGAATAGGCAAATTGATAGACACAGAATGGAGATTAGCTTTTGCCAGTGTCTTAGGTCTGTGAGGGGGTGAATGAGGAATGACCGCTAATGTATATAGGGCTTACATTTAGGGTGATGGAAATTTTCTGGAATTAGCTATGGTAATGTTTGCACTACTTTGTGACTATACTAAAAATCACTGAATTGTACACTTTAAAAAGAACATTTTATAGCATGTGACTTATATCTCAAAAAATAAATACATGAAAAAGTAGACTATATAATTTTTTTTCATTTTTGTCTTAATTACTTTAATGACTAATAAATTCAGAGATGGGACAGTTGTTATTAAAGAAATATTCGTCTGGACATAGTAGCTGACACCTGTAATCCCAGCAGTCTGGGAGGCTGATTTGGGAGGTTCACTTGAGCACAGGAGTTTGAGACCAGCCTGGGCAACATAGGGAGCCCTTGTAGTCCCAGCTATTTGGGAGGTAGAGGGAGAGAGTTGCTTGAGGTGGGAGGTCAAGGCTGCAGTGGGCTGTGAGTCCATGATTGCATGCCTGCACTCTAGCCTGGGCAACAAAGTGAGACCTTGTCTCAAAAAAAAAAAAAAAAAAAAAAAAAAAGAACAAAAAAACCCAGAAATATTGATCTGGGAATTATAATAGAAATGAATATATTATCTCCATGAGTTGAAGTAACATGGTTATTAGCAGATATTAAAGAGAGGACCTGGTGTGACATTGAGCAAGTTATTTAATCCCCGTGGAGATAATTTTCTAATATGTAAAATGAAGATGGTAACATGACCAATTTCAAGAACCGTATAATCAGTTAATATAAAATGCAAAAATAAAATAAAAAATTCCATACCCCAAATTATCAATATATTTCACAATCTGTCAAATATCTAGTTTGTTCTCAATAGTGTTAAGATCAAAATCATAAAAATATATATAAATATATGCACTGTGGAATGTATGATTATTATATTTTGTATTCTGAAATATTTTATTTTCACAGTAAATTCATTATTTCATGGCTATTAGCTATTACCCATTAAATATATTTTCCAATGAATATGAAATGACATTAAAGAAGACAGGAGATATTAATAAATTTATGTTTACAGTTTTAATTCCCACAACAAGCACAAACAAAAGCTAATATATGTCACATGTTCTCACAATTTTTATTTAACTCAATAATGTACTTTTGATCAAGAGACAGTAACAAAAAATTGTTTCTCTATTCTTTTCAATAGAAAGACATACTATTTTAAAATTTAACTTTCAGGTGTAAAAAGTGTTAAGGAATTTGAAAATATCTTGATATATATTTCTTGTTAACTCAGTGATATAAAATCTAACTCAATGTTATTGTGAACAGGTACTAGTAAATGCATTTTCTGCCTTTTCATCATTTTAGTCTTAATCATTTTAGCTGTTTTCCATATGACTATTAATAGCATATTTTTGGCAACTTGCTTTTTAAATGTTTTCTTTTTTGGAAATCAATGCATATATCACAAGTTTCAAATTGCTTTAAGTCTTTTGTCAACAGAAAGAACATTCAATTCATAATAGATTAAAGAGAATGAGAGTTGTTCATATATTTAGGTAGAGAGTGGTAATCAAGTGTTTTGCATTCTATTTTTTTCCTTTTCTGCCTCTTTGATTTTATTTATGTATTTAATTTTTTATTGACATGTATTTTATATATTTATGGGGTCCATGTGATATTTTTAAAAGTCCATATAATCATTCAACAAGGGTACCTGTTATTTAATGTAACCTGGTATTCTATAGCCTTATTTTCACTCATGGATAGAAAACTTTTCTGTGACTTTGTCTTTTAATTTGATCACATGCATTGTTCTAAGATCTAGATAATGAAGCTTTAATGTAAAAACTAAAGATAAATATTTTAAGTTTATTTCCATAAAAGAAAGAGTAACTTGTCTGACAATGGGATATTGTTATTATAAGTAATCTCAAAATATACTTCAACCTAAACTACAAAAAATCAATACATTCTGAAGAGATTAATAGACATATATTAAAGAGTGTATCAATGTACACAATAAAGAGCAAAATATGGTATATGATTTCAATAACATTAAGAAAAAGTTAGCAGTAATACTGTTAATCTTACTAATGATTAAACTAGAATGTTTCTAACATCTGAAGAGGTGCCCTTAGATTATTTTGCTCAATCAAATAATAATTATAATGCTAATAATAATGGCATGCTAAACATAATAATAATAATTGCATACATTTGTGTTTTATGTACCAGGCATTGTTCTAATGTTTTTACATATTTTGATTTATTTAATATTCATAACATATCATGACATCTCTAGGAAGTAGGATTGTTATACTCACAAAAGGAAAATTAGCTACAAATAGATTAAGAAATTTGCCTAACTTCTCACACTTGGTAAACAGCAGAGCTAAAATTAAAACCCAATTAATTTGTTTCTAGTTCCTACTCTTAATAATACATGAGAGATATATTTTTAAATCATATTCTTAACTTTACCACTGGCCTTTCTTTCTTCTTTCTACTAAATTATTCCATGTAAAATGCTTAGCTTTGCTATGAGAAAGACCTATCACAAGCCAATGTAGGTTAAGATTACAACAGGGAATTACTTTAATATCTTACCTTTATTTGAGGATGCATTATTTCAGCAACAACTACTTTAATTTATTTCTGATAAGCTCTAATGTTTTAGAACTCTTTTCTTATTCAAAACAGAGATTGTGTGTGTGTGCATGCTTACACAGGGTGTGTGCCAACATTCAGAAGAAGAATGAAATGCTTAATGATAATATTGGCATTTATGCCGAGTTTTATATCAGGAATACTAGCTAATTCTCGGACTGGAGGCTGGGATGCCCAGAAGATGTGCAAATTGTGACAGTCCCTTGGTGCTAGAATAATAAAAGGGAATGTGAGAATGTGAAGGGGTGGCAACCCTGATTATCATGGACTGAATTTTTGAGTTGTCCCAAAATTCATATATTAAAGTCCTAGTGTTAATATGACTATATTTGGAGACAGGGCCTATAAGCAAGTAATTAAGGTTAAATAAGGTCAGAAGGGTGAGGCCCTAATATAATACGATTGATGTTCTTCTAAGAGGAAGAGAGATCAGAGCTCTTCCTCTCTGAAGATGCATGCAATGAGGAAAGACTAGGCAAGTACAAAGCAAGAACTGTCCACAAGCCAGAAAGAGAGTCCTCCCAGAAACCAAAACATCTGGAACATACATCTTAGACTTCTGGCCTCCAGAATTGTGAGAAAATACATTTCTATTGTTTAAGCCACCAGGTCTGTGGTATTGTGTTATAGAAGTCCTAGCAAACTAGTACAGATTTAGGTATCAAAAGTGGGATGCAATAACAATCTGCTATAACAAATGCCTAGAAGTGTGAAAGCAGTTCTGGAATTGGGTGATGGGTTGAAAGAGTTTTGAGGTGCATGCTAGAAATAGCCTAGTTTTTAAAAAACAGATTACTGTTAGAAATATAGACCTTAACGGTGATTCTGGTGAGGGCTCAGGAAGAAAGGAGGGGAATTATAAATAAAATCCTTATCATCTTAGAGAATACCTGTATCTTTATAAATAGAATGTTGGTATAAATATGAATGTGAAAGCTGATTCTTGTGAAGTCTTACAAAAATGAGGAACAGGTTACTAAAGACTGATAAATAGGTTATCCTTTTTAGAAAGTGGCAAAGAACTTTGCTAAATTATGTTCTAGTGTTTTATGGAAAGTAGAACTTGTGAGTGATAAAACTGGAGATTTAGCAGAGAAGATTCCTAAGACTAAAGACTGATAAATAGGTTATCCTTTTAGAAAGTGGCAAAGAACTTCGTTAAATTGTGTTCTAGTGTTTCATGGGAAGTAGAACTTGGGAGTGATAAAACTGGAGATTTAGCAGAGAAGATTCCTAAGCAAAGCATTGAAGGTGTGGCTTGAGTCCTCCTAATTGTTTACAGTAAAATGTGAGAGAAGAAAGATGGATTGATGAAGAAATTGTTAAGGGAAAATGAACCAGAATTTAAAATTTGGAAAATTCACAGCCTATCAATATTGCAAAAAATGAAGAACCATGTTTGGAGAGAACACCAAGGGCATGGCTGAACAACCATTTAATAAGTCAGTTAGTATGGATGTGATCTATGGATTTAATCAGGTATCTTAGGATAAATTAGGAGTAAAGGGATGGTACTAGCAGAAACACTGCCAGCTAAGACTAAAGGAAACCGAAAAATAGAATGGAATGAAGGAAGACTACAAATGTCTTCTCCATTAAGAAAAGGGAAGAATGGCCCTGAAGGCAATTCAGAGATCATCAAGGCTGCCAATCCCACCACAGGTTGGAGAAAATGGGGATGGGAAGTGTGAGTTTGAAGGGATGGAGTAGGAGTAGGGAAAAAAGATGCTTCCTTTTAGGTTTCAGCAGGCTAGTCACTCCTCACCATAGAGAACAATGGGGACGTGGGAGCTGGGATGTCCTACCAAGCTGAAAAAGTAAAAGCATCCCGCAAAGCCACAAGAGTAATATTGCCATCTCAGTGGACTTGGATAGTAGAGCATTAAACAAATGAGGATTATTCTTGAGCTTAATATCTAATGGAATTTGCCTTGCTAGGCTTTGGGCTTTCTTGTGACAAATTGCCCATTTCTTTTTCGATTTCTCCCTTTGAGAATGGAAATATTTATTTATTCTAGGCATCTCCAACTATTGTAATTTGGAAGCACATAACTTTTCTGGTTTCACAGGTTCACAGCTGAGATGAGTTTTCCCTCAATTTAGATTATGTTTAGATGAGACTCTGGACTTCAAAATTTAGACTTGATGCTGGAGTAAGTTATAACTTTGGGGGCTGTTTTGTTGGAGTAAGCATATTTTACATGAGAAAAAGATATAATTTTGGGGGAGATTGTCGGGAAGGCAGACTGCTATGGACTGAATCTCTGTGTCCTCCCCTGAAAATTCATATGTTGAAGTCTAAAGCCCCCAGTATGACTGTGCTTAAGGATAGGGCCTCTAAGGAGGTAGTTAAGGTTAAATGACGCCATAAGAGTAGAGTCCTAATCCGATAGAATTGGTGTCCTTATAAAAGGAAGGAAAATCAGATCTCTGGCTCTCTCCACAAGCAGACATGGAGAAAAGTCCACGTGAGGACACAGCAAGAAGGCGGCCATTTACTAGTCAGGAAGGGAGACCTCATCAGAAACCAAACTGGCCTGAATCTTGATATTGGGCTTGTAGCCTACAGACTATGACAAAATAAATTTCTGTTGGTTAAGCCATCAGTCTGTGATATTTTTTATGTCGTCCCTAGCTGCAAACCATTCACACTTTGAATTGAGATGCTGAAAGTGTAAAATATATGTGTAAAATGATCTGAAAATTGTATCACTCTTAATTAAACTGAAGTTTAGCTGAAAATCTTAATCCTTACTATTATATTAAAATAGTCTATTATTTTTAGTGCTCCTGGCCATTTGTCAGAAATAAAATTTGAACCACCTAGAGTTAAAATTAATTATATTTTAAATATCGAATTTTTATCCTTTAATAAGAAATAGAATAAGAAGAAACAAGAGAATGTTACGGTAACTGCCCATCAGGTTCTTCCTGCTCGTTGCACATATAAAATCAACTCACCAAGACCATTGCATAGCAGTAAAGAGTGTGACTGATGTGAGGCTGGCCACACCATGTGGGAGATGGAGTTATTATTCAACCTCCCCAAAAATTCGGGGCTTGGGGTTTTTAAGGATAATTTGGTGGGTAGGGCTCTGGAAAGTGGGGATTGCTGATGGAGTTGAAGCTGTCCTCTTGTACTAAATCAGTTCCTGGATAGGGGTCACAGGACCAGATGAGCCAGCTTATCAATTTGGGTGGTGTCAACTGGTGCATTGGAACACGGGGTCTGCAAAATATCTCAAGAACTGATCTCAGGTTTTAAAACAGTGACTCATAAACTATAATTTTTAATCTTGTGGCTAATTTGTTAGTCCCAAAGACTGTTTATTCCCAGGCAAGAGGGGGTTTTGTTTGGGGAAAGGGCTGTTACTGTCTTTGTTTCAAAGTTATACTATAAACCAAGTTCCTCCCAAAGTTAGTTTGGCCTACACTCAGGAATGAACAAGGACAGTGTGGAGGTTAGAAGCAAGATGGAGTCAGTTAGGTCAGATCTCTTTCACTGTCATAATTTCCTCAGTTATAATTTTTGCAAGGGCGGTTTCGTTACCAAAAGCAAAAATAATCAATAGAAATTAAAACACATAATCGACTTATCAAAAAAGACCCAACACTCAAGATAAAAAATAAAGTGTATTAAGATAAAAAGTTCCATCTACCAGTAAGATACAACAATTTCAAGTATTATGCATCTAATAATATGAACACACACAATAGAGAAGTAAATTAGAAATAATCATACCCATATTCATAGTAGGGAATTTAAAAATACTCTGCCAATAACTGACAGAATAAGCATGCACAAATAAATCAATGATACATTTACAAATGAATTTTATTGGCATTCAATAATGATACAAGTTTTTCAGGTACACACTGAATATTGGGCAAATGTACTATATCCAGGATTATGAATTGAATAAAATTATAACTCAGTGACAAAAAAATTACTAGAAATTGTCTCTAGATTCTAAAAGTGTAAAAAAATGAAAAGTCCATGGATCAAAACAAAATTGGGCAAAAGGATAATATAAATATGACATAACAAAATAAACAAGGTTGTAGCAAACCCTATGGTTGGAGCTAAAGTTGTAGTATAAAATGAAAATATTAGAAAAGAGCTATAAACTAATGTGCCAAGTGTTAAGAGACTAGATAATAAAAAGAAAAATAAATGCAAATAAACTAAACAAAAAAAGCAGAAATTTTTGAAATATAAGACCAAAACTCAATAGAATCTATCAATATTAAAATTTGTTCTTGAAAATATTTATAACATTTATAGAAATATGGCAAGTTTGATGAATAACAAAAAAATTAATTGAATACTAATTAAGATCTAATACATTTTTGTGGAAATCAACAAAGCTGATTTAAAAATTTACACAAAAATTAAAATGGTCAAGAAGAAACATACACTTCAAGATTTGAATTATGGGTCACACTTTTACAGATTTCAAAGCTTACATTTAAGAATCTATAATTGTGGGAATATAATATTGGTACACAGATAAACAAAAAGGCCAATAAAAAATATCGAGATGCTAGAAAGAGACCCGTATGCACAAGACCACTTAATTTAGAACAAAGGAGTAATATAGACCAGTAAAGAAAGGTCTATTTGTTAACTATTTCTTGGGTGCATCACTAGCGATATAGAAAATATAAATCACATCATTATTATACAATATACAAAAATCAATTCTTAAAGGTTATGAAAATATTATAGATAAAATAATATGATTTCTAGACTATATTAAAGAAGATATTTTTCCTGATAACATAGACAAGATTTTTTAAAATATTAGTTTAAAAAACATTAAATATATAGACAATTTTTGACTAATTGGGCTTCCCAAAATTTAGGAACTTCTTTTTATAAAAATACCACATTACATGAGAAAAAAAGAGAGCCAGAAGAGATAATTAGACAATTAAATATATAATTTCCTTAATAAATTTCTAAATCAATGATAAAACACACAAGCCAAAAAAAAAAAAAAAATAGGCAAAGAAGATGGAAGGAGCCAGAGAAGTGGACTAACACTTCAGAAAAGATGGTATAAAATTGCATGATAAGCACATGTGAAATTGCTCAACATCATTTGGAACAGGGAAACTGTAAATCAGAACAACAAAGAGAGAAAGGTGGGGTAAGCAAGATTGTGGACTAGGAAGCCTTAGGCTCTTCTTCCCTCGTAGACATGAGTATATCAACAAAACATGGGCCAGAATATCTTTGTGAAAATTCTATAAATTACAGCACACAGGCCAATGTAAGACAAAGGTGGGACTATAGACAAAGCAGTAGAAAAATTCACCACATTTTGCAATTCTCTCCCTGTCTCTCTCTCTCTACTATGCTTAGACACATAATTGCAAATGAAAAGAAACAAAATCCAATAAAACACAGTGAGAGATCACCTCACCAAGTGTTGTGATAATTTGGAGCAATTAGAATTCACACACAGTGATTGATGTTTGGAGTGTAAATTATTACAATCACAACACAGAGCTTTTTGGTTATGTGAACTAAGCAGCAGTGGATGTCCTTCAGGAACCAGAGGAAAAAGACATTAAAAAAAAAAAGGCATTGTAGGAAACAGAAGACAAAAGGCAGAGGATAATTTAATATAAAAATATAGTCAGAAAGTTCAACTTGCTCTGTTAATTATGGTAAATTTGAGAGCTAGAAAATACTGCAAATAGCATTAAGAAATCTTCTTAAGATATGAATTATATATTTTCCTTTTACTTTCTTATTTTATTGACCAATTGAAATAAGTAGCGTGAGTTGTTTTCTTCCCTTTGGGCTAGTTTATGTCACAGCTTGCTGTCTTGTTTTAAAAATTCTAAGTAAGTTGATGAGAATGGGGGTTTGAGGAGAGGAGAAAATTTATATCAACTCTAGAGGAACATTTGTCCTGTGCTTTGCTTCCTGGCAGCTCGCTAATTGTGTGATTTGCCTTTGAGGAAATGGAATACTGAAGTGGTACACTACAGAGTTTCAACCCAAGTCTGTGGTTTCCAATCTTACCAAAAAGCTCATTGCCTAAACTTGGCACAGAAGCAGACTATGAGTGCTGGTGTTTCAGCTATTAAAAGCATGCAAGAGTGATGACTGGAGAGTCCTTATTGTTCAAGGATCCCAGAATCTTGTTCCAGTCCTGATGGTTGTGATAGGAAGCTTATAGTGGTAGGTTCTCAAAGTTGAAAGTCAATTTTAATTTTTGATAAAATAGAAATATTGGATGGCTTACCCAACTGTTTGCAGACTTATACTTACCAACTTAATTTTTACCAGGAAAGGATTTTGGGTTTGGAAGAAGTCACTCAGCCCAATGGTTTTTAAAGAATCGTCCGGCCGGGTGCGGTGGCTCACGCCTGTAATCCCAGCACTTTGGGAGGCCAAGACGGGTGGATCACAAGGCCAGGAGATCGAGACCATCCTGGCTAACATGGTGAAACCCCGTCTCTACTAAAAATACAAAAAAGTTAGCCCGGCGTGGTGTCGGGCGCCTGTAGTCCCAGCTACTTGGGAGGCTGAGGCAGGAGAATGGCGTGAACCCGGAAGGCGGAGCTTGCAGTGAGCCGAGATCGCGCCACTGCACTCCAGCCTGGGCAAGAGAGCGAGACTCCGTCTCAAAAAAAAAAAAAAAAAAAAAAAAGAATCGTCCTTCCATGGGCCAGCCCCTGGGAATTTCTTAGCAATGTATTACTCTTATCTAAGGACTTGGTAGAAATGCACATTTTGAGCCACACTCAGCCTGGACTTAATCTGAAACCCTAGAGTTCGGGCCCAGAAACATGTTTTAGCAAGCTTTCCAGGAGATTGGGATGCTTCTTGTTAATATTTCAGTATCACTGATGTATCCTGGCCATTAAACTTAGGAAATTACAGTGAAGAAGTTAAAGTGACTTATTTTGGGGTACAAAAGGGGTCAAGACAGAAGAATATTTTTAAAATAAGCTTTGACTGGTAAAACCATATTAACTAATGATAGCAGGAATTAAATAAACAATAGCAATATAGTTGATAGATGACAGATTACTAATCTGTTCTCCAAAATGAAATGGTTTACAGATCTCTAGGGGGCATTTGAAGCAGCCAAACATTGGAGTCAGAGGGGAAAATTGAAGTAATAAAGAGCTAAAATAAGTAAATTAATAGTAATCTATTGTAAAAAGTAGATAGCATTATGGGCCAGGTCTTTCTGAACAGTTCGTGGTAACAAAAATGTTGATATAACTGTTTACCTTTAATGAATTAGATTAGAGGATTAGAGGTAATGGTATGCTTAGATTCATAAAATGTTATATAATTGCATTTAAATTAAAGACAATATTTGAGGTATACTTAAGACATATATAACAACTTTAATCACCTAGTTATTTTATTAAATTTTAATTTATCACCTGATTTGAAAGTATACCAAGATAAAAACAAAACAACCAACTGGAAAACAATTGGCAAAGGATGCAAGCAGTTTTCAAAATATGAAATAAAATTCCTAATATGTATGTGAGAAAATGTTTATCTCATTAAATAATTACAGAACTGTCAATTAAAGTAATCACAACATATTTTCTTTATTGTCAAAAGTTCTTTATTGTCAAAATTAGGAAATAGAAGGATATTAATTATCAGCAGGGTCACTGTGAAATTCTCTCTTACCACTTCTGGTGAAAGCTTAAATTGATTTTATTACTATAAAACATATTCATGATAATTGCCAGAGCCTTCACGTTATTCCAGGTTGAATTATAATAGGTAAACAGAAATGGAAACAACCAATATGAGCCCCTGATAGATAATATTTCATTAGATAACAGTATAGTGAAACAATGATAAGGTTATATTGCCTTTAAAATTATAAAATATTGATGATACATGACGGTTTTTTTTTAATTTAAATTTTAATTTTTTTTTGAGATGGAGTCTCACTCCAGACTGGAGTGCAGTGGCACAATCTTGGCTCACCGTACACTCCGACTCCCTGGTTCAAGCAATTGTCTTGCCTCAGCCTCCCGAGTAGCTGGGACTACAGGCGCGTGCCACCATGCCCAGCTAATTTTTTGTATTTTTAGTAGAGATGGGGTTTCACCATGTTGGCTAGGATGGTCTTGATCTCTTGACCTCGTGATCCGCCCGCCTGGCCTCTCAAAGGGCTGGGACTACAGGTGTGAGCCACCGCACCCAGACTGTATGATGTTCTCAAAAAAGAAAATTTTATGTATTTTGGAAACAATTTTGAGTATTGCCTTTGTGTTAAAATCTTAATATATTTTTGGATATTGTTAGTGTGGATATTACTTTCTTCTTGTATCATGCGAAGTCAAAATTCCCTAGAATTTCATATATACACATGCAAAAACATAGTTACCTACATATATGGATTCTAGGAATGGTATCTCTCCTGCCTACCACTGTCTAATGGAAATAAAGTAATAGGTTCAACTTTGAACCATTGCCAAAAAGGTGCTTCTGGAGCATTTAACATTTTCTGTGTAATTTCTTTAAACAGTATTATATATCAATATGATGAACAATTCTATATTGAAATGCAATGAAAGTATTAAAGTCATCAAAGTGCAGTGGAGTAATTAAAAGATGTTGAGAACAAGTCAGTTATAATTACTCAATTTTTAATATTATGTCCCTACATTTCTGTTGAAGAAAATATTGGAACTCAAAGGGAAATTTTAATTTTGCTTTTATATTCAATGGATGTGAAATATTTTCATTATATGTTACAGATAGACTCAAATAATTATGAAGAATGGTTTACTCACAGCCAGTGAAACAAACTCGACTTGTCCTTTGAATTGACATGTTTCAATGAGTTGGATTATTTATCATATATTGTAGTCAAACAATCTCTATACAGGTGGATTCCTAGAAGATAAACGAACTTTAAATAAGCAATTCACTCAAATTCAAAGTTATCTATCTTAAAAGCAAATTTATTTACAATTTATATTTCACTTTTCTCAGCAACATTCTGAGGATACAGGAGTTAGAGGTTCTGAAGGACAATTATTATCTTGCAATTATTATTACTGGTTGTGGTGGAACTATTTGTCATTGTAGTTAATATAAGTGATTATAAAATTTGACCCTAAAGAAGACATGGTTTTATCAAAATTTGAAATAAAACATTATGTACTGGAAAAAGAATTAGAGTGAAATTAAAAAAAAAAATCAGAGATCTTGGAAGAGGTATACATTTCTCTGAGACTCACAAATAGTCTTTATGCCATTATTCATTTACTAAATTGGCTTGTAAGTACATTCTCAAAGTTCAGATGAATGATCTGCTTGCAGTATTAATCCCCACTGAATATGTTTAGATCAAAGCTTTATGACCTCTATTTATTATGGCAGACAATGCTAACAGAAAATATCCACTTTTAAAATCTTATTATTGTCAAACTCTTTATCTAGACCAGTGACTTGACATTCTCGCATAAGTGAACATTAAAGCTTTTGCCTTTTTAACCTCATGATCCTAGAGCATAAATCATTTATAACAGATTCAATTCTCTGTGTCTTTTCAGTGTTATTGGAGTCTTATCTTTCATTCTGGTCTATGCATTCAGTTTAATGTATTCCAAGCTTGCTTTCTTTCCCTTCTCCTCTTTCTCCACTCTTTTTTTCTGTCTTTCTCTTTTTCTTTTTCCTTTTTCCTTCCCACCTTCTTGCCTTCCTGCCTTCCTACCTTCCCACCTTCCTTTCTTTCTTTCTTTTCACAGAGGATTAGGATGTTAACTTCTGTGGTAAAATATATTATGTGCACCATTTTGATTCTCAATACTGTCTTTGAATTGAAAAGGATACATACTGAATGATTGTTCCTGTTTCTTTTGCATAACATTTGGGAAAAATCAGTGCATCTTTATTTGCTTTTTATGTCATTAAAAAGTCCCTGCATTGAAAGGAACAGATATTCCTATCTTGAGAAAATAGGCACAACTACACAAAAGAAAATAGAAAAAAAGAGAAGAGCTGTAGCATTTTTCAAATTGGTGGCTAATTATTCAGTAGAATACTTTGTTATGTTCAATTTGGTCATCGTGTAAGAAACAGGTTTTGCAAAAGAAAATGATTACATTTGGATGACTCAAAGATAATCATCAGAGAGTGTATATACTAAGACATTATATTTTATGCCTTAAATATAAAAATGTAATACTAAAATGTCAATAAGGAAGGAAAATGTAACTGTTGTAATGACACACTATTGTACATTATCATATATTACTATATTTCTATATTATATAGCATTAAACTCGATCAGCTTTATTATAGTATAGGAAAAATGAGCTTATTCTCTGATACTTGACTGATATGTAATTCACGTCATTCAAAATAGTAACTATCTCATTTTTGCATTGTAAGTTTATTTGCCTCCTTTTTCTTTCCTTATCAGTTTTTTTTCCATACAGTATATTGGTAGACAGAGATGTGTTATTTCTTAATCTTACATTTTCATTTTTCTTCCTATTATCATGTTGTTTCTTGCCCAGAGATGCATTTTTACAGTGTTTCTCCTGCAGTCAGGTTCAATGGATGCACATTCATTTCACAAACTTCAGAGATTTAGATAATTATTTTTCATTAAGTTACTACAGGACATATCTTCCCTAGTCCTCTTTTAAGGTGGAGCTATAACTGTAGGAAAGAGTGGTATGATAATTGGAATGCTTTCCGTTAAAACATTTGTCATTTATGATTTTATTCATATCATAATCAGGTATGAATAGAACTATAGAAAGAACTGTAGTGTTCCATATCACCAGTGTTACCCTTGTTAGTTTTGTGCTGGGTAAGAAGCACTAGACACATCATCAGTGTTACGGATATGATGGCCAGTTTTGCAAAATATAATTTGAATAAGCAGATAACCTCTAAATAATCACTCAAATTATTTTGATATTGTACATATAAGACAAGCAGCATGAACTATTAGCAAAAAGCAATCATCTACAGACTCTTTCAGTGTGTATTAATTCCACCATCCGTACTTCTGGGCCAAATATTTATATCAAAGTTTGATCTGATGTTCTTATGACTACTGGATAGATACATATGATTTTTGTTTTATTAACTTTCAGGCTTAGCATAATTCCATTAATACATTCATATATTCTATCACCTAACACTTAACAAAAATTTACTAATGAGTAAGTTATTATTCAGACACATTGCTTGAACCAATATGACCCAATCACTGTCTGTGTAATCCTGATGTTTAAAATTTTATGGACAATAGAACTATATACAACAAAGGAAGTAAATAAGACTAGTGCTGCTGATGCAATTTCAAGATACAAAGTTTTGACTTAAAGCTGATATACTCATCCAGTGATATTTAATTATTTTTGTGTTTTCTTATATTTCTGTTTTAATTTCCATCTGTGGCTTCTTTGTTATTGTTTATAATATTATCAATTGTATATGCTTGCTTGCTCTCTTTCTCTCTTTCATAGTGGCCATGAAAAGATTATCATATTTATTCATCTTTTTCAAATGCTAGATTTTGTGGTTCCTTTTTTTGTTTTTATTTCATTATTTTCAGCTCTTAATGCTGTTATCACCTTTCGTCTATTTTAGGAGAGAGACGGGTTGGGTTTTTTTTTTCTTCAGCTTTTATAGTGGAAGGTCTAATTTTTTAGTGTTTCTGACATTTAATAAATGATTTCAGGGTTAAAAATTTATTTCTATTTCCCAGTTGACTATTGTTCTTAAAATTTATCTTCAAGGTTGTTAATTTTTTTTCTATTCTCTGATATTAATGCTTTTTAATGATTTAAATGAGAAGTATACTCCCTGTTATTCCCTCAGTTACGCTGTCAGATTTTATTCTTCTCAGCATGAAAACTTTTGAGAAATGAAAAAGAAATGAGTATTTTAAGGGTTGGAAAAGAGCTCTGTCACAACCTAATTAATGCACATGCACTCTCTTGCTAACACACACACATACACACAATTTTTTATTATACAAATGTTACCACTGTAGGTTTATTTGCCCCCCCGTTTAATTAAAAATAAATCTTAGAGATTTTTCAATATCAGCATATATACATATATATACATATAGCATATATATGTATATAGCATATATACATATATACATATAGCATATATATGTATATAGCATATATACATATATATACATATAGCATATATATGTATATAGCATATATACATATATACATATAGCATATATATGTATATAGCATATATACATATATATATATACATATAGATACCTATATATATATATATATATATATATATGGCTCTATTTTTTGAGAGCTGCATTGTTTTTCATTGTAGGAAGGTGCCATCACTAATGCTCACTCCTCTGCTAATTATTTTGACATTTTTTTACTACCAGAAACAAAGATGTAGACATTGTGCATATGTCTACAAGTACAAATAGAATTCTACACAGAGTAAATCACTAGCAGTAAAATTATCAAATTATACTATAAAACATTTCATCAAGATCTATAGCATATGTTGTGCATATGTTTACAAGTACAAATAGAATTCTACAGAGTAAATCACTAGCAGTAAAATTATCAAATTATACTATAAAACATTTCATCAAGATCTATTAGCATTCTGAGGATTTCAGTCTCCAAACTCTCACAAGTCCTGAGTATTATCAAGCTTTTAAGTGGTTCTGATTTTGAAATTCATTAATTAAAAGTAGAGGTATTTTAAATGTTTAATGGTTTTTAAATTATTGTTTCTATAGACTATTTCTTTTATCTTTTAAAGTGAATTATTTTTTCTAGAAAAGCTGTGGTAGAAAAATGCCTGTTGGATGTTTTTGTCTAATTACTTACCCGTTTTCACTTTTTTTCCAAGTATATTAAATACAAAAGACATTTGGAAAAATGTCTACGGTACCTCTTTTTGTTTACCATGTTTCAAGGTTTGTGCTTTGATTTAGCTGCAGACTTTCAAAACACAGAGACAAAAGTAAGTAAACAAGAAATAGAAAATTAGAAATAGCAGTAATTTTAAGGTGCATATCATCATGAAATAAGACATGATTTTGCTATATTTTCTAAATATCACAAGATGAATATGTTTCAGAGGCAATATGATTTTAATAAGCAATTTCCGTGTCTTAAGAATTAAGTAGTTTTATTTATGACACTTTCCCTCAGTGTTTTTGAGAAGCTTTAACATAAATCAGTCATAAGCAAGCTAGTCAGCAAATTCTCCAAAAAAAGAGGTCCATATGTATAATTAAAAGCTTGAAAAAATAGAGGTTTCAACACTTTTCAAGTAGTCACTTCTGTGTATCCATCTTTAGGTCAAGATTAACTTTCCTGCTCACTTGAAATACAGGGATTTCTTTATCACAGAGACATTCATGAGTCTATGAGTATGAAACAGGGATCCTCCACCAAATAATTCATTTTTTTCATTAGTGTTCTCCTTACAGTATATTAATGAACTTGTGGAATTTTGAGAATCCATGAACAAATAGAAACCATTATCTGTGGCTATATCTCCCAGTACAACTGTGCTTCAGACAGAATATCATTCTATCTGTGAATAAAATTATAGTTGTAATATATGTTGTGGTAGCTCAGTATAGGGTTTGAACTCTAAAGAGGACCATCTGTTAATATGCAAAGAAAACCAGACTAGAACAAACCAAAACAAATATTCTGGAATGTACTCCAAGTCAGTGATCTTGCTTTAGTGATAAAGATTATTATTTAAATTATGCACATTAATTTGTGCTTCTAAGAATAATACTAGTAGCCTATTGTATTAATCCCCTCTACTGAAAACAACTAAAAAATATGGGCAAAATACAAAAAGTAACTCCCTGAAATTACAGGAGAGGGAAGAATAGCAAACTGACTTTGTTGGGGCACAGGCCTGGAAAATGGCCCAGGGAGTGATTTTCTGTTTTCCCTTCAGAATGAGTACCACAAGAACAGCACATGTAGAGTAATGGTAGCTTCTGCTGAAAAACTACAATCTTTAAGGTGTTGAAAGTGCACCCACTGAGAGCTGGAGAGGGGTTCTTTCTGCCCCTCCCCCATGGATCCCTTAATCTTATAGGTGCAGATCAGATTTAGAGCAGCTCACTCAAACCAAAAAATCTGAGCTTTCAGCTCAGATCTGCTTCTCCAGCAACAGAGTTTAAGTTCATATTCACCTAACATAATAATTACCAATGAAAACAAAAGAAACAATATTAATCAGAGAAAAACAAAAGACTTCATTATCTGCACAAGCAAGTAATAAGTATTATAACATGTATATAATTAGGATCCCAGAAAAAGACAAAAAATCATAAAGCAGAAAAAATAATTGAAAAAATAATTGTAAATAACTTTTGATGAAAGATAAAAATTTGCTAATACAAAGTACAACACTAAGCGGAATAAACATGAAGAATTTATACAGAGGCACATTTTAGTCAAACTACTAAGAACAAAATAAAATTCTTGAAAACAGGAAGAGAAAAATGAAACATCACATATGGGGGAACACTAGTTCAATTAATGGCTGACTTCTCACCAGAAGCAAGAGACCAGAAGGTTTTGAAAGTTATTAAAGAATATCTGTCAACCCAGAATTCTATATCTAGTGAAAATATGCTTCTAAGTGTTCTCATCACAGAAATAATAATTATGGGAAGTAATAACTGTGGTAACTAACTTGATTTAGCCATTCTACAGTGTATATATATTTCAAACATCATGTTGTAAATGTTGTAAAAATACAAATAATTTTATCATCTGTAAAAAATGAATTTAAAAATATTTAAAAATAATGAAGGTAAAATAAAAAATAATTTTGAATAAAAATGTAAAGAGAGCTTTGCCAGAATACCAGCACTACGAAAATATAAATGAATGTCTTCAAGCTTAAGGGAAATGATATATATAAATTAATGTATTTAGAAAAGATTAAAGAGCATTAGGAATCAGAAATATTGTAATAAATAGTATCTTTTTCTTTCTTCTTGTTTTCTTAATTTCTGTAGTCATGACATAATCTTTCAAACAAAAGACTAAATGTTGCTTTGCAATGTTTACAATGGATACAAATCCAATACATATAACACATAAAAAATGGAGGCATATATATCTTTGCAGTTGCAAGGTTTACATATTTTATGTGAAATATTTCAATATTAACTGAAAGTGGACTGTACAATTTTAAAAATGTGTTTTATAACTGAGTGTATAACTTAAAAAAGTATACCTAGAAAACCAGCCAAAAATTTAAACTGATATTTAAAAATATTTATGTAATTAAAAACAGACAGTAAAGGAAGAGAATATGAGTCAAAAATAGACAAAAGTGGAATGCCGATTTAAAAAATTGTAGATTCCAATCCAAATATATTACCAATTGGAAAAAATATTAATAGAACATACATTCTCTTTTAAAGGAAGATCATTAGAATGGATTATAAAATTGAAAGTAAATGGAAGAAGAGAAAGTACGACACACAAACAGAAAGCATAAGAAGCTTGGATGAACAATATTACTTCAGGTAAACTAGATTTCAAGATAAAATACATACCAGACATAAAGTACTCCATAATTATCCATGTATCAATTGATCAAAAAGATGAAAAAATTATAAAAGAAGTATGTTTAAATAATAACAGAGCTTTAAAGTATGTAATGCAAAATTTGGCAAAATTAAAAAATATAATTTTTTTTTTTTTTTTTGAGACAGAGTCTCACTCTGTTACCCAGGCTGGAGTGCAGTGGCATGATCCCTGCTCACTGCAACCTCTGCCTCTCGGATTCAAGTGATTCTCTTGTCTCAACCTCCTGAGTAGCTGGGATTACAGGTGCCCGCCACCATACCCGGCTAATTTTTGTATTTATAGTAGAGACGGAGTTTCGCCATGTTGGTCAGGCTGGCCTTGAACTGCTGACCTTAAGTGATCCGCCTGCCTTGGCCTCCCAGAATGTTGGGATTACAGGCATGAGCCACCATGCCTGGCCATAAGTTGAAAATTTTTAAAATCTTAAAAATAGTTCATGATTTGAAACCCCTGTCTTAACTATTGATATAAATATGCCAAAAAAAATCAGGAGTGACATAATCATCTGTAAACTCAACAAGAGCAGAGTACAAATTTTTTTTCAAGTGAATATGGATTATTCACAAAGATAAAATAAATGTAGGAGCATAAAGAGATTTGGCAATTATTCCAAAATATGTTGGATGCTTCTAATGGAGAGTTTACAGGGAAATGTATAATTTATTGCTTAAATGAAAAAAGAGTAGATAATTAAAATGAGCAATTATTGTTCCCACGTTGACATTAGAAAAATAAGAAAAATTAAAAACAAAGTAAGTAGAAGAGATATAATAAAGATAGGAATAGAAATCAATAACAAAACAGTACACACAACAAAAGGCCCAATAAAACCATGGGCTAGTTCTTTGAAATGACTAATACATTTGGTAAAACTCCATAATGTTGAAAAGAGACACAAAATACACACGACCAATCCCAGGGATGAGAGATGTGGCTTTTTATAAGTTCCAATGTTCATTAAAGAGTAATAAAATAATATTATAAGCAACTTTATTCTAATATGTTTGGCAACTTAGATGGAATAAAAAAATTCTGGAAAGATAGACAATACCAAAATTTATTCAATTGGAAGTGCATAGCTTGTCTTCACATCTGAACACTATCAAACATTGAGGCAAACCAAAATTACAATTACGCACAAAATTTTTCAGAAAATAAAGGACACTTCATAATTCATTTTATGAGTTCGGTAATGCCTGAATACCAAAATCAGACAAGATATTTAAAGAAAGAATGACAGATTGATAACCTTCATGAATGTAGACACACAATTATTTTTAAAAAATTAGGAAATCAAATCAAAAAGCATGGACCCAGTAGAATTTATCCTGAGAATGTAAGGTTTGTCAGAAAATCAGTAATTTTAATTACCACATTAAAATTACAAAAGAGATAAATAATGTGTTCACTTTAATAGGTGGAAAAAAATATTTGACAAAATTCAGCACTCATTCATAGGAAACCACTCTCAGAAAAGTGAGAATAGATTTTCTCCATTTGATTTGGGGTATCTATTAAAAAACTTATAGCTAATATAATATCCAAGGGCAAGGCCCAATGCTTTTTACTAATAAAAAGGAAAAAAGGGATATTTATTCTTATCTCTTGTTTTTTAAAATTATACTGGATGTTTTAGCCAGTGTAGTAGGGAAAAAAATCATACTGTTTAAAAAGTAAGAAGTAAAAATCTTTATTAACAGATGACATGATTGCATATGCAATAAACTCTATGAAATATATAAAAAAGCTACTAGCTAACAAAGAAGATAATGTTTAGGATTGCAAGATGCAAGGTCAATGCAGAAAAGACAATTGAATTTCTACATACTAACAATAAGAAATCATAAAATAAGAGAATACTATAGAATCCCATCAAAAGTATATAAGTAATGAATTTACATAAACCATTAGTAGAGAAATGTTTCTACCTGTCAAGCTGTACAAATATTTTATACCTCTTACATTGTTGTGAATCCACCCACTGATTACTAATGTATTCATTATGTTCTCATTTATTTATAAGGGAGCAAAACTGTATAATTAGATACTTTAAGTACTATAGCAATTTCTTTGTAGTGAATAAATGAGAAGAATTGATGGGAAAAATTCAACTAGAATTAGAGGCTAAGGATCTTAATTACAACTGAAACAAATCTTACCTAAAATGAAATATACACTGGTTATTTAATGAAGTCCAGGTAAACACTCTTCAAAAATGAAAATGTATATATTTTGAATAAAATGACTACAAAACATGGCATAGGAGAAGAAAAAAAAAAGCATGTATCACCACAATGGTCATTCAAAACTCTTCTGAAAATATAAATTCTATGGTGTAATTTTATATAACTTGAACACAATATGCTATGATTCCTATGGAACCCATTATTTTTATCACAATTGAAATCATACATTGTTATTCATAAGAAATGTTTTATCAGAGATGACAATGTTAGATTAGTGTTTTTCATATAATACTCTTTTTGTCAAAGAGCATACCTTAACAACAAAACTAAGCATTTGGATATTTTGTTTTTTGTGTACACTGAAAGATACAAATCATTGCAAAGGAAATAAAGGAAGACTTAATTAGCTAGTGAATGTACCTTGTTCATACATTTGAAGAGTCAACATTATTAGTCTGACAATTCTCAAAATTTGTCCTGTCAGTACAAAGAAATCACAATTAAAGCTGTCACAAGCATTTTCTGAAGAAATTGCCAATATCAATTAAAAATCTGTATGGATGGCAAAGACAATAATAGCTAAACACTTTTGAAAAAGTACAAAGTTGGAGGATTTACAACACCTAATTTTAAAATTTTATTGTTAGTCTGACAATTCTTAATAAATTGGTCTATAGATCCAATGAAATCCTAATAAAAATGGTAACAAGCCTTTTTTTGAAGAAATTGACCACATGATTTAAAAATTTAGGTGGAAAGGCAAAGACAACAATAGCTAAATGTTTTTCAAAAGGTACAAAGTTAGAGGACTTACAGTATCTGATTTTAAAAGTTCCTGAAAAGCAACAGTAATCAGCTCTGTACGTTTTTTGGCATATAGATAGATACGTAGATTAACGGGGCCGGGCGCGTGGCTTACGCCTGTAATCCCAGCACTTTGGGAGGCTGAGGCGGGCGGATCACGATGTCAGGAGATGGAGACCACGGTGAAACCCCGTCTCTACGAAAAATACACACACACACACACACACACACAAAATTAGCCGGCGCCGTGGCAGGTGTCTGTAGTCCCAGCTACTCCGGAGGCTGAGGCAGGAGAATGGCGGGAACCTGGGAGGCGGAGTTTGCAGTAAACCGAGATCACGCCACTGCACTCCAGCCTGGGCGACAGAGTGAGACTCCGACTCAAAAAAAAAAAAAAAAAAAAAAAAAAAAAGATGTAGATTAACGGAATGAAATAGGGAGTCCAAAAATAATTTGATATTTAAGTATAAAAATTAACTCAAAATAGATTATAGATTAAAACTTAACAGATAAAGCGGCAAAACTTGTAGAATAAAATATTGTAGAAAATCTTCATGACATTAGGTTGGGCAAAAATATTTGAAACAACATAAAGTATATATACTATGAAAGAAAAATGATAAATAGAATTTCCCAAATTAAAACTCTTGCTCCTTGAAAGGTAAAGCTTTGAAAGATAGTGGAGAAATTACCTTATTTTAAAAATCAAGAGAATTCTAAAAGTACTAAAGGACATGAGTTTTAGAGAGTCAAATGAATGCCCAACACAATGGATAAAAATAAACTATGAAAAAGCACATTTTAACAGACACTGTTGTCGCATTGCTCACATTTCTCCAGCACTCATCGTTATATTCCAAGACTGCTTATCACAAACAGGTGTGACTCTCTTACCAAGGAATTTTATTACTAGCAATGAAAGCCAAGGAGTAACTTCAACAAAATAAAACACTCTTGATATGTGTGAGCCTAGGGCTTCATTAATTTGCATTGTGCCTTTCTGAAATAAAGGCTATTTTCACAGAAAAAAAATTAAAGGATATTCTTCATAGAGAAACAGAAGATACTTTGAATAGATTTTTTTTTAAAAAAGGTTGAAGTATTTTCAACAATACTTACGATAAAGATGTCCTGAATACCACACTGGGGTTATCTGGTCCATTAATACTCATATACCTATAATAATGATGGACGATTCAGATATCATGGTTCAATGGGACCATCCATTAAAATGACCCAACCACTTTTTTAATTGAAGAGTTTATCAAATAAACTTTATGTTTCCTGGAGAATTATATTTTCTATGTGGTTGTTTATAAATATTAAGTAAAAATGTTATGTTTTATTATAGCAGCATCTTTCTTAACTCTATTCTTCACATAAGACACAGAATAGAGGTGTCTTCCTATATTCTAATGTAGTAAGAAGTTTTCTCTTTATGTCTTAACCTTAAGAAGTGAGCACACCTTAACAGGCCTTCTGTGTTCACCTTCAACTGTCATATGCTAACATTAATAGTTTGCACGCTTTAGCTTCTAATTTCCATTATCTTCAGAAAAAAATACAACTTAAAGGTGGAGAAATTATGGGTAATTTACTTAGGGATAATTCTTTTGGTTCATTGTTTTGGACAGTAACCCACAGATGAAAAATTAAAAGACCTCTATTTTTGGGGGGGTGGGGGGGGTAGGGGATGGAGTCTCTCTCTGTCACCCAGGCTGGAGTGCAGCAGCATGATCTCGGCTTATTGCAACCTCTGCCTCCCAGGTTCAAGCAATTCTCTGCCTCAGCCTCCCAAGTAGCTGGGATTACAGGTGCCCACCACCATGCTCAGCTAATTTTTTTTTGTATTTTTAGTAGAGACAGGGTTTCACCATCTTGCCCAGGCTGGTCTTGAACTCCTGACCTCGTGATCCACTTGCCAATTTTTATAGACTTCAAGAATAAGTTAATAAAACCTAATGATGTTGATAACTTCTGCAAAAATATAATTTTAGAACATAATTTACTTCATTACCTGTCACCTATAATGTGTAACAATGCCAATACAATACCTTTTTTCTGCATAAAATGACATAAATAATTCTATGTATTGCAAACTTACTAAATTCATAAACATTAGTATGTATTCATAGAGTACAATTTAATATTGTATATGAATGTACTAAGCAGTTTTTTGGTTGGTTTTGTTTTTCATTTTTATATTTTGTTATACCAAGGTATGTGTTTTTTCAATATGTATTACTGCTACTGCAAAAATTTATGACATGTTAAATTCAAGTTATAAATGTTTGTTTTATTTTGTAGTTTTAATTTTATTATATTAAATATATCTTAATTTATTTCAAGAAAAATAATATTAGACCACAAACATTGAGTATCAATTAATAATATTCATGTAATCATTAGAGTCTATATGTGTGATTCATTAAATTATACAATTGGTGGAAAAAAGTTCTATCTACAAAAAGTCAGGGATTGTGCTAGGCACTGGCAATACAAAATTGGGAAAAACATTGTCCCTGCCCTTAAGGACATCAGAAATTGCACAGACAGACACAAAAGTTTTGACTGTAATCCAGTGCAATCAGATTGTCATGTGAAACCAGAGAAGGTGTACTTAACTGTGCTTTGAAGGGGTGTCGATGATGATTTCAAAACAGGCAGGGCTTGATTTAGTGTATGAAAAAAGACCTTGCAGGCAAATACGAAAATAAACTATGGGATGAAAATCTACCAATTATATGGTGCCATTCTCCTTTGTTTCTCCTGGTATATATTTTTTCACACTTCACATCAGTATAGGACTATAGGCACAAATTATCATTAGAAAAGTTTGCAGATAGGTATACACTGAGTTGTTTCTCCTGTACTAAATGATGGCACATCAACAGGAAAGTCAATATTCTGTACAAAGTTCTTCAATTTATTCTTTAAGTCTGGAGGGATGGCAAATGTACAGGAACAATTATAAAGGAGGCTCCAACTTAATTTTTTACCCAACTGTAAAAATTCCTTATATCATTTTAAGAAGTCATGATTTGAAGGCATAATATAAGGGAGAGACAGAAACAGATGTGCATTTTCGAAGTGGTTTTGGCAACACTTTGGACACTGATATGGTGTAGGGAGAAGTCAAAAGAGAGGAGGTAAGTTAAAAGTCATCAGAAAATTATCTAATTGCCATATGATGTGAACCGAATTGTCAGTGATTCTGGAGAGACATTTCGTAGATACAGCTGGAAACACTTCTTATTGATTGGTGTGAAGCATGGCGGAGCAGCAGCATGGAATCCTGAAACAAAAAGACAAAGGATTGAATCCCAACTGTGATACTTACCAGCTGTAGACTTTGCAGCTCTTCAAGCCCCAGTTTGTTCTTTCTTGAAAATTAGGGTTTTTTTTACATCATTTATTTACTGTAATAATTTAATAAATAAAATAGTAAGTGGCATGGAACAGATGTTCAATAAAATGTTGTTGGAACTATAAATGAGCAATAGGGAAGGAAAGAAACAATTATGACTGAGGTTAGAGACCATCGGGCTTTATTTCAGAGTATTTGTTATTTGCTTATTTCTTTGCCCTACATTGATGACTCATCATACCTCTTTCCCCATGGACTGAATAGACATGTGTAAGACAACCAAATGGTCAATTCAGAAATACTACTAGTCTGTACTTTACTTACCTATCTGGTTGTGTTTCACACTGCACATGCCTTTTCTCTGGGATATGGCTTCATTTTTTAATTATAGTCCCTTGAATCAAACAGCTTTTGGAGTGGACTGCTTGGAATTTGAACTGGTATGTCAATTGCCTTGGTTTATGCTCCTGACAGACTGGGCAAATGAAATTGATTTCTGAGATGTGGGTAGCAGGTTCTCCATTTTAAACTACAATTTGGCAAAATGAGCTTTTCTCCACACATGACTGAAACACTTGACTTGGAGATTAAGGGTTAGCCATTTCTGAATTTTTTCCCTCCAGGTTGGGTTGAGAAATTAAAATGGAGAGCACTTAATTGGATCTGCTTTGGTATTAATTTACTAGTTCTGATGTACAATCAAACACAAGGCAAAGAAAGGAGAAGTAGTCCATACTACAGTGGTGGTAGTATTTCTTTGTACATAATCCCGTCCTTCTTTATTAATCTTCTGTGGTCATGGGACAGGGAGAAAGCATAAGAGAAAGGTCATATCTACTAATTTAATTAAGTAAGGTTGCAGAAGTTTGGAACAGGGTATCAAAATTTTACTCTTGTTTTTAAGGTATAGTCTTTAAAAAAGGAGTATTATATAGTAATTACTAATCAAATGTAATTATTCTTTCTGATAAAGAAAATTTCTTGTACAAAAAAGCAGAAAGTTATTTTTAGATTATGACAAATAATAGGCTTCATATGATTTCCTAACATATTATGATAACATATACATTACACTATAGCATTCATAATATAGAAGAGCTTTGAGTAACCACAGTGGTTATACATGCTTCCAATGTGTATCTTGACTTCTTTCAAATAAACATTAGGTGTTTATTATGAGTCAGATTTTTAAGAATTTAGTTAAGATTCTCAGCACCTAGTTACAATAAAAAGTTTCCTCAAATGTGACAATGCTTCTCACTTATTCATGATAAAAATTTGGTATACTACTTAGAGTACCCAATCATGTAGTTTTGTTCCTTTATAAATCAAACATGCAAACACAATGAATAAATAAGCAGTCAGTTGGTAGATTCATGGCAATGAATGGGGTGTAGAACATTTATTCAGCTTGACAGGTACAAACATTTCTCTACTGATGATTTATATAAATGTTCAAGGTATATTCATTTTACTGAGAGAAAAAAATACAGAAACTACACAGTGCAAGGGAAAGTGCGTGTTTTTGGAATGTCTAATATTATATATAAGTTATAACATGAATATTTCAGAGTGACTTTGATAGTCCTACAACTCTAGTTTCTCAAAAAAAAAAATAAACAAAAGAAGATAGAATAGTCTCAGTGATTATTTAAATGCAAGTCCAACCCAAGGTTACAATACATTATTTTTATAGTTTTCTTGTGCTAGAGAGTTTAGGTGAAAAAGATATTTATAAGCCTATCAAATTTCTAAAACCACTATATAAAGCTTACAAAGATCTATGATACAGAGAGAAAACATTGGGACTACCAGATATCCTAGATCAGACTCAGGGAAGAACAAAACTATATTCCTAGTACAAAGACCCCTCAGAGTAAATATCCTAATTTCTTCAATACAAGAAATAGGTGAAGAAGAACACTATTTTCTATCAAATGTATCACTGCTATAATTTGCATTCCTAATAGAATGTCTTGTTTCTGCAAAACTAGGATTAAAAAGATTCCTATTAAACATAAATACAAAGAAAATTACAGTTTTTGTGTATATTAGCTTGGGACCCCTGGAAAACAAAGTCTGAAACAAAGTCTTAGAAATATAACAGCAGGACACAGGATTAAGGGGGAGGAAAACAATGAAGGAATTGATAATACAAGAAAGTAGTATTAAGTTGCACAAACTGAGGGCAATGGATGCTGATTTTCTTAGGGCATTATGAAAAATATTATAATGAATCTTAGAATTTTCTACCCCAGAGGGCAAAACGTAGAGGCTTTTTATCCATTGGCTTCAATCCTCAAAGATCAACTGTGGTCCCAAAGACCATAAATCATAAATACTTCTGGTTTGTATATACCTCCTCTCTTTTGGGGTATTCCAGGATTGTCTGTGGCTCTAGCAGTTTGAAGAGGTGGGAATTAAGTATGATGGTTCTTTGCACATACTCCCCTCCTTCATTCTTAATCTTCTGTGGCTATAGGACAGGGAGAAAGCATTAAAAAAGGTTGTATCGACATTTAATTAAATAATTTTGCAATCTTCATCTTGGTTGACTATGACCCATTTCTATGGACTAGATGTAGGCAGAAAATGGCTTATTCCTGTATAAACCCCCTAGGTTTGATTTTCCCTGTGGTATCTGATAACCTCTTTCAGCTGACCCATACCTATTAGCATGCACACAACAACTTTGTACAGCTCCAACACCCATATTGATGCTGTTTGAATAAGATGGAAGTCCTTAAATATCATCTGCTCTCTTTCATCAAATTTTGGACTCCACAACCCATTATTTGTGTCACTCTGGGCTGTGAGAAGGGCTTGGGGGCCAATGGTGTCATTCTGTTCTTTCTCTGTTTGGAAGTTCCCAGCCATATTCCTTGTCAAAATTGAACAAGGTTAGCAAAATGGATGCTGTTTCTCGCTACCCAGCTCACCCTCAGTAATGAAGGGCTTGTCAGCCTTCA
The DNA here is from genome assembly GCF_000001405.40 of Homo sapiens. Taxonomy (NCBI): domain Eukaryota; kingdom Metazoa; phylum Chordata; class Mammalia; order Primates; family Hominidae; genus Homo; species Homo sapiens. The sequence goes on along the minus strand of NC_000002.12, from coordinate 194,572,517 downwards.
TGGGGATTTCCTGGTTAGAGACAAGTAGACAAGTGTCTAGTCCAAAATTGTGCCACCTTCCAGGTGCAGCCTACATCCAGTAATTTCACAGAGTAAGGGTATAAAAAACTGGCCTTTCAACTTAGCTCAGGTCAACCTGGCTATCCAAGCTCCATTGCTCCCCATGTAGTTGACTGAGCTCTTTGTTTTAACTGTATTGCACCACAGCTCAGCTTTTCTTTCTGCCCATTCTTAATTTCTTGCCCTCTTTTCCACGTGTGTTTATCTCAAGAACACTCCCTAATAAACATCCTTCTTCCTGCTGAACTTGACCTAAGAAAAAGGGAAGGACCACTCCACTCTCAAGGGGAAAGAATATTGTCTCTCCAGAACACTGAACTCCTGCAAAGACACAGTCCCCTTTTGGGATCCGAGTGGAGTAGGCACTAGTGAATTCAGTGCCTGCTCTGTTTCTCTTAAGAAACTTTACAGAGCAGAGCTTGTTTCCCATCTGTAGTATCTCCCTAAACATAGAACTGGGGAGTAGTTAGCTCCTTTTGTCCTCAGCTTGTAGTTAGCCCCCATTACAGGACAATAGGAAAACTCCTCTGAACATCTGGTTCCATTTGATTTCTTTTATCTTTTTCCTTCTGATGGCACCAGCTGTCTGATGCAAGTTTGTTTTATCTCTTTTTCCTATGACAGCAAAAAAAAAAAAAAAAAAAAAAAACTTTACTTGCAAGTAAGAGATTACAGGAATCACTTGAGAGGAGCATAACCAATCTATGCATGATTTATACATATGTACAACATGTGTTACATTTCAGTGTGTTATATATTTAATAATATCAATTAGCACAGTTGAATATGTCTTACCCTTCACTGAGCTTAAAAACTAAACTAGTTTCTCATATTTTTTCTTCAAGGAGCAAATATAAATATACTATTTCTTTAATAATCTTTTAGTTTTTCATTATAAGGAATTACTGAGCTTTTGCCTGTATGTTTAATATTACACTGCTTTGTCTTCATTTACCCTTCAGCTACTGAGGTGAAAATTCTGACCTACAGCATACTAATTACTTGGCTTATTAGCTTCACATTATATCAGTAATGGGGTGATAACTAGCATAATTACTATGACTTGAAGAATTATGCCTTGTTTTACTATCATGAACTCTGAGATGTTCTCAATTTTTTACAACTCATCTAAGGTTGTTAAACACAATGTTCATCTGTTTAACTTTTAAGAAAATAAGATGTAATAACATTTTCCTTTTGAAAATGCTCTTTTAATATTAGAATATTAATCTATATAGAGCAATAAAGTAACACAACTGGAATTTTCATAATATCTTTCATCTTTTCAACATTGTTGTGTGGATTAAACTTCTCATTTATTAAAATTTTTTTTAGTATAAATTTGAGTGTTTTTAGGTTGCTATAGAGCCAATTTATTTTAGAAAATAATTTCCAATTTATTCACTCTTAATGGCATATCTAATACAATGTGAAAGTGAATGACCTGGAACACACCACCAACTGATTTCCAGAATTCATTCACCAGATGGGATGGCTAGTTTTATGTCCATCAGCGAACACATATGCCCTGCATACTTCCTTACTTAAAGAAGATACAGGGTTGAAGTAACTATTTTTGCTTTGCTAGAAACAACAATCCATTCTTCCCTTTTTTGGATTATTAAATCATAAATTAAGAGGTAGAAAATTTTGAAACCAAATAATCAACTACCTACTCTGTGTAAGACTGTGATAATGTTTATTGGTTTCTGTAAAGAAAAAGTTGAAAGAAGTCAGAGATTTTATTTTTCTAATTAAGTTTTGTATTGTATTCCATGCCAGGGGTTATGCCTGACTTTCACTAGGATCAGTTATACTTTTTTTATTAGAACAGAGTTTCATGCACTTTTATAGCGATTCATGTCAGTGATCATGCATTCATTTCTTTTATCTGTTTTAATATAACTAATATTTGGTAACAATAAAGCTGAGAACTGTGAAACTTTTAATCAAATTATGGGGAAGAGGAGGAGGAATTTTAGTTACAAGAAAGAGGTACATATTTCATATTTAAGAATAAATTAATTTGCTAAGATTAATTGATGAAACATTTATTGCATACCCAGTCTGTGCAAAGTTATTTTTTTAAGTGTTGGAGATACGATAGAAAAAAAATAAAATACTTGTCTATATGGAGGTTCCATTCTAATTTAGGAGTGGGTGAAAACAATAATAAAGAAATTTAGCATAGATATGTACATGTATAAATATTGCCAAACATGTACATATAAATCTGTGAGGAAGAAAAATGGTACTGAGAAAAAAGTTTTTTGAGGAGGAGTTGCTTTTAAATCTAAGATCATTTGGGAAGAAATTATTAAGAAGCAATTTCTGCTCAATACACCACCTCAAAATTTAGTGGCTTAAAACAACAAACATTTATTAGTTACAGAAGTTTAGGCCAGCCACATAATTCTGCAAGTCGGAGCCACACTCAGTAGATCTTGGCTAGACTCACTCATACATCTACACTCACATAGTAGGTTGGCTTGGCTAGATGACCTAAGATAGCCTCCCTCACATATCCAGCAGGTTTCAGGCTATTGACTTGGGTGACAAAAATGACTGGATCATGTATACATCGTTCCATCAAGGCTAACCCAAGAATGTTCACTTGGCACATTGGCAGAGTCATGCCAAGTTACTTGGGAGGCTGTGGTAGGGAGATTGCTTGAGCTTAAGAGGTTGAGGCTGTGGTGAACTGTGATTGTGCCACTGAACTTCAGCCTTGGGGATAGAGTGAAACCCTGTTAAAAACAAAAAACAAAACAAAACAAAAAACGAGTTTCGAAGACATGAGCAAATGCCTGTGAGGTCTCTTGAAACATAGACTTCAACTGATATATAGCCATTTCCATTGTATTTCATTGGTCTAAGCATGTCACAAAGCTATCTCAGATTTAAGAAAAGGGGAAATAGAGTGAGTCTTCCTTTGAATGGAGGACCTGTACAAAACTATTGCTAAGTAGCATGGACACAGTCAGTGATGAACTCACAACCATTTTTTTGTAAACTGCCACCATGACATTAAAGCAAAATCCAGAATAATTGAGAATACAACCTGATCCTAAAATTTCTGGCTAACACAATTAAAAGATAGAATCAATATGCTACTAATTCCTGAAGGGAATTCACTATATTCCTCAAATCAAATCTGGAAATAATTATTGTGGGAAATACGTATCGGGCAACATATTTAAAATGTTACCCAAGAATTCTGCTACGCAACAGAAATGTAAGATGAGCAGGACAGTGCTTTCATGTAGCAGAAATTTGTATTTAGCTAATCTCCATTTTTGGTCTGGACTTTTTTACTTCATCTGATGGAACTCCTTTGTTTTCCTTCCAAAATTTTGTATAATTTTAATATAATTAGAAAAGAAACAATAAAAATATGCTGTGTCATGCTGGGAGAAATATAATACACATAAGTCCAGGCAACTAATCTAGTGAGGAAGGTCAAGGAAAATATTCAGAAGGAAGTGATGAGCTGGATCCTAAGGATGAGTAGAGGTTGGCCAGACAAGGTTATGAGAAGAGCAATTGGCTGTGCCCTAGGCACTAACAAAAAATCTAGTATGATCAGAGATCTTGGGGATACAGAAGATGTGACAAGAGAGTTAATGGTTGCATACCTAGGTGGTTATGTTTAAACTGATGTCACTGGGGCAGTGATTGTAGGCCTTATGTTTTAGTAAATATTACTCGTGGGATTTTAATTTTGGCATGTCATTTTGCCTTATGTTAGCTTGACAATTGCTGGCTACAGAGAAATCAGCAAATAACAGGCTTGGGGGAACAGGCAAATGGCTGCCATGGAAACCTTGGTAAATATGGTCACAGGAGCCTCATTGCGTGTGTTATAACAGAAGACCTTAAACCTTATGCTTTTTATTCAAATTTCAGATGAGACAGAAACAGGGAAAAAAAGAAAACATAAGGGAAACTTTTCCACCTAGTGAAACCACACCAAGAAATGGAAAGTGTTTCGGGAACATTATTTCCTGTTTTTACGATGAGGCTCAGCTAGTTCTGCAAGCTACATCTTTAAACTGCAAAAACAGCTGAGTTCCACATGAACTATTGAAAAATAAGAATATTCTAACATTAAAACAGCTCAAAATATAAACAAGTTTTGCTAGATTAGCAGTACAATTTCATTCCTGTTAATATTTTATGCTTCATTTGAGTAGACTAATGTAACCTTAACCATGTGGTAAAATGTTGGCTCTGAGTTTGTTGATTTTAGAAGTCATGAATATGAGTTTTATATCAGAGTTTCATTTACAGAAAGGTGGCTAATTTTAAAAGAAGAAATAAAGGCATATATTATTTAAAAATAAAATAACACGATGTGATTTCCAAAATCCTTGCAAATCCAAAGGCAAGGGACATTAAAAAGCTCTATGCCTTGAATACTCTGTCTTTGGGGGATTACATTTACTCAAAAAATCAAAAAGGAGCTAAATCTTCTTTAGAAAAAAAAAACTGCTTCAGGATTAAATATAAAAGCTCATTAGCTAGAGAAAGTGAGACTTTTCCTTCTCAGAGAGGCTTAGATCTTAAGAGACAAAGTAGAGAGCTATGAAGGAGAAAATGAGAACTCGAGGGCATGGTAGATGAGGGTAAAAAGAAAATGAAAATGCACCCTAGGCTATGTTCTTAAAGATGGTGATCAAAAAAGGTAGAATTTTAGTTGTTGCTAGATCGGGGTAGTGTCTGGACCTAATACATAATGGGAAACAAAATATCACAGAGCAGAACATAGTAACTATACTGGAGGGAACCAAGATTCAAATTATTTTAAGATGCACTCACTTAAAGTTGCATAGAGTTCTTTTTTAAAGAGCACTTAGGTAACAACCTCTAATTAGGAGAATAGAAGTGGTTTACAATTGTTGATCATCAACCAATAGATGCTAATTTCAGCCACAAAAGTGATTGTGATTACTCAGGGAGAAGTTTCAGAATGAGATGAGGAGAGCTCACAATGTGATTCTAACATTTCCTCTGGAGTTCTGGAGTTTACCATTTGAGCCACAGGTTTAAATGCTTCATATTGAATCCCTTTGATACTAACAGGAACCCAATGAGATGGGTACTATTATTAAGGCTATTTTACAAAGAAAGTTGGTCAATTTCACAAGCTAACATTGCTTATAAATGTCAGAACACAGAGTTGAATTAAGCCAGTCTGGCAATACAGCACATATTTCTACCTCCATATTCCAGAAAATAACTTTGAGCAGAAATCTGCAGAACACTGATATTTAAGGATTGGAAAGGGAAAGGACATATAGCGAGTTTTGATATATGTTGAAGCCATAGCACCATAACCACTTTATGCAAATGCAAAGGGAAAGTATCATATGCTCAAACCACATAGCCCTCTAATAATCTAATTTAACTAAGGATGTCTTGATCTAAACTCTTAGGTTAGTAAAGTATTAGATAAATGATGTTTCCCATGTTATCTTTTCTAGATTATTCTCTATGTGACATTTTTCATGTGAGTTGTGGATAAAGCAGGAAGATTGCATTATTGGTTGATAATCAACAATTGTTAACTGCTTGCTTCTATTTCCCTAATTAAAGCTCTGCTGAACTTTAGTACAAGCCTGCTCATTAAGGCAGTTCTGAGTTTTAGAAACAAATAAAAAAGGTGGCTGCATTGGAATTTTATTATGGAAACTAAGTCTCATAACTACTTTCTCACTGAAAGGAGAATCTCATATCTATACGTAGGTGGGGGATAACAGGATGTTTATGGCCCCAACCAGAATTTTCCTCAGGAAATAATTTATATTTGCAAAATTGTCAAGATTAGAATAAGACCCCAAAATTTCATCATATAAAGATTTTAGCCTAATACATGGGTAAATATTGTAGCTTCTAAATTGACCAAAATTTTTTCATTTCTAACTAATATTGTCTTTTTTGTGTCTGTTGTATAATCTCACAGCACATTTGTATTAGAAGTAACCTGAAGCCTAATGCCAAATAAACATCCTCCCTCACCCTGTTCTCAACCTTGTAAAATGCATTCTAAGCTTTCATGTCTGTCAAAGTCGTTGGCAGGTGCTATATAAATATTCAGATACATAGAATCCATGAATATTTATGTGGTAAAGTTGCATTTATTTTTACATACCTTATAAATAAATAGGCAAAGACCTGCAAAAGAGAACAATTTAGTAGTGTCAGGTGGTCTATAAATAAATTCATCTATGTGTGTGATATGGATTCCAAATTAATTCAAAGCAGAATACTGAACGTTTTTCATCATGAAAAATTTCATAATTAAATCATTTTTTAAAATCTGACACTAATAGTTAACCTATAATATAACTGATTATAAACAGATATTTTAAAATTAATCTTCCTATGTAGTCATAAAAATTAAAAAGATTAAAAATTAAAATTGATCTTCCTAAATTAAGAGATTATCGTTTGCATCTGTAAAAATAATTAGAAAAAAACTATATGTTTTGATTTTTGTTTCCTCTTACAAAAAAATAGTGAACAATACTTAGGCAGATAACCATATAGCTGAAGGTTAGAATGGAAGGAATTCTATGGAAATAGAACTTGTGTGCAAAGGAGAGTGAATCAACTTTTCTGTTCTCTGTATTCCTTCATCAACTGACAGAATAATACCTTATCAGTTCATTTGGGTAGAAGAAGATGCCCAATTCACTAATCAAATCTCTGCCAGGGATTATGAATATTTCTCAAAGTCTAAAATACTTATTTAATAAAATTTAACTTCATCGTTGTCAGGGTCTTCACACTTTTTTTAATATAGTATTTGAAGACTTTGAGTTTATAATTTAAAAGAAGACAAAGATCAATCTGATTTGAATAAACTGGGGTGTTTTATTTTCCTTATTAGATCAAAGTGTCAAATGGGAAAGCAGCATAGTCACTATTTAATTCTGACTCAAAGGGGTCTATTTCCAATGAAGACTCTTATAGGCTACGAGAAGATATTTCCTGCCACACTCCATAATTTAATCTTCATCTGCTTTCAGTCCCACCTGAAATTAAACTACCCATATTGTATGGATGGAGTTTGAAAGGAAGGAATCATAGAAAGTTAGAGGATAAATCTACTTGGCATTGAAACACACATAATTTGCCAAGGAAGTTCCTTCTTATAACCTCCTGGATATCTTTTGTATCTTATAACCACTAGTCTGTAATCTCTACAAGATTTTATTAGATATTTTAGAAAATTTGTCCTCCCTCTGTGTCATGTATTAAATGTTTTTCAAATTATAAAAAAATTATATGGGTGCTAGTAATTGTAGTTATGTACATGTATTAGAAAATGATATTCAGGCAGAAACTTATAACAATGCAGAGAATAATGTATAATTCTTGATGTTTTAAGATAATAGTCTCTAATTTTAGTAAAAACCACAATAACACTAGATGTCTTTCAGTACCTGTGAGCCTCCTAAAATATGATATTTATTTTTCTGGGAAAATGATCCACAGACTTTGATGAATTATTGGAGGTTATACAGACTAAAAAACATTAAGGAATGCTAGTAAAGATCATGTTCATCCTACTTAAATACATTTGGAAAACTAATTAAAAGCATATTGATACAATCTTCATACTCAAACCAGTACATTTTTATTGTCTGGTTATCTGCACATAGTTTGGAGTTGGATAAATAGGAATTTATTTCAGATTAATTCAAGAGATACGACTTTGCCCCACAGTAAGTAAAATGCCTGCTCAAAATATTTAACTTGATGCTTGCACAGCAATTCACGCTAGAAAGTAAGAAAGCTATTTTTAGTCTCATGGTTGCTTAACTTATAACACAGAAAACCATTTTATAAAAGGTGATGAGGTGTCCTGGTTAACTATTTGATGTATTGTGTAGCCTAGCTAGTGCCAACATTCTTCTAAAGGAAACTACAATTCAGAGTATGAAATAACAAACTTAAATTGAACTTTCTGAAGAGTCAGTCTGTTCATTGGAGACTGTTTATTTCCCATGACTTAAATGGTGTTCTTATGGACAATAAACCACAGTATGTGAATAGCTTTCCTAAAATGTTTGAGAGGGTCACTGAAACCATACAAGAGATAAATGCATTAACTTAAGAAAATGCTTAGTTTAGTCCTTGAGAAATATGCAACTTTTAAAAGTGCACATTTTACTTTTAAGAGCTTGGAGTCATAAAAGATTTACTTTGGTACATCCTAACAGCACTTTATTGCATGTAGTCTTCACTTTCATTTCTAGAAATACAAAAGTCAGGACATGCTCTCAAGGATGCTTATGTCATAAAATCATGTTCTATTCAGCCTGGCTCATAAGGTCAGATCAAAGTTAGTATTTAGTCTTCACTCAAAATGGTATATATGTATAGTAAATGCAAAGTTGTTCAAACTGCCTGTTACATAGTCATTAAGGATTATGCTCTGAAATGTATTTTGAATTTTCAAAATATTTTTCAGACATAGAACATTTTGGATTTATCAGTGTGGTTTTATCAAGTATAGATTATTATAGTAATTTTTAACTGTCTTCTTGAGAATTCTTATAACATATGAAATACTTAAAATTCCTATGCAGAAATAATGTTCCCAGGTTAACTGAGTTTGATATAAACTGGGATAAGTGAAATTAAATGAATATCATATTTCTGAGCCTTTAACACTATTATGTATTTTATATAACTTATTACATATAATTATATATACATAGATATGTTATATATAATTCCACATATACATATATAGTGTTATCTAAATTTTTTACTAAAGAATCTTTTCACAGATCACATATTAGCATTTATTAGAACCAACTGTTCTTCAGACCTTATTTATAAAATCTCAGATGCATTCAAATTGAAGCTGCAAATCAAGAAATCTAAGTTAAAAAACAATATTTTCAACTCCCCTTTCTCAGTGTTATTGGATGCAGTAATGATGACTTAGAAGCATGGGTATAGACACAAAATATTTGACCTAAACCAGTGTCTCCTCATCATTTAACTGCTGAGAGTTAAAGTTACAATAAGAAGTCCAATATTTTATTTAATTTAGGGTAAATCTTAAAAGAATACCAAAACTGTAATTGTTCAATGAGACAGTAAATGAAAGTGTAATCATTAATAAAATTAGTAGGCAACAAGGAATATCTTTTGGTATCAAAAGTACCAGTGATCAATGTTATGAACTGTTACTGGGCTAAACAACAATATGATTTTTGTGATGTAGAAGCAAAAATTTATCTGAGTGGACAACTGAACCTAGTAGAGTACTACAGAAATCTGTCTAGAAAAAAGGTTGATTAAAAAACAAATACGTATTGTTTATAAATGTGTACTTTTATTAATTTTAGAAATTGAGCATGATAACTTGTATTTAGATATACAGTGACAATCTCTTTGAGATCCAATTAGTCATTGGTTTGAATCAAAAGCAAATAATAAATAAATATTTATTTACATATTTGATAGAAAAAGTACACACTAATAGTCAAGAGTTTTTAAACAGTTAACAACTAATTCTGATTATTCATAAACAATATTGCTTTTTACCTGTAGATGCTAAAAGGAGATATATAACATTGATGACAGGAAGGAAATTATAAACATGTCATCTTATTGAGGGTTCTATTGGCATTCTGGAAGATAAACCTTAGTTATCAATTACATTACAATAACTTTTTATACTAAATATTTAAATATCTAGAAAATAAGATCTGAAAATTTCTTTTTAATTTTAACTTAATCCATGTACTAAGGTATTGTATTAGTCCATTTTCATACTGCTCATAAACACATACTCCAGACTGGGAAATATACAAAAGAAAGAGGTTTAATGGACTTACAGTTGCATGTGGCTGGAGAGTCCTCACAATCATGATGGAAGGCAAGGCAGAGCAAGTCACGTCTTACATGGATGGCAGCAGGCAAACAGAGAGAGAGCTTGTGAGGGGAAAGTCCCATTTTTAAAACCCACAGATCTTGTGAGACTTCGTCATGAGAACAGCATGGGAAAAACCTGCCCCCATGATTTAATTACCTCCCACTGGGTCCCTCCTACAATACATGAGAATTCAAGATAAGATTTGGGTGGCAACACAGCCAAATCATATCAAGTGTTATTTAGTTTTTTAATATAGATTGGATTGCTACTTCAGATTTGCTATATGGTTAAGATTTAGCACAACAGCCAACAATAAAAAAGACCTTTAAATTTAAATGTTGACCTGAGAATTTCAGGTGGTAGCTTGTCTTTATACACGCAGCATTCTTCAACCAAATTTAGGCAATGAAAATGTATCAACATATTCTTAGGCAACATAAAAGCACCAATTCAAAGGGAGTAAGATGGCTAAAAATGACTTATGACTCCAATTACTGAAAAAAAATTTGACACTTTTGTAGTGAAATCCATTTCTGCATTCATACTATTTCTTTGAAAAATAAGTAAAACTACTTTGTGACAAATATATGTTGTTAGGCTTTCATGAGCTTTAAATTTTATAAAATTAAAAGTAACTGGTAAAACAACAATTGATTATAATCTGTAAAAGCATTAACTGCATTTTCAAGTTCCTATATTTACATCTGATAAACTGCATGGATGCATTTTGATTTTTTTAAATTTTAACTTTCATAGCATATTAAATATTGAAATGTTGTTAAAAGTTTAAAAGTTCATGTAAGTACAAAACGTATAAATTACATAAGAATAAATTATGAAGCCAGGTGAAGTTGCTCATGCCTGTAATCCCAGCACTTTGGGAGGCTAAAGGGGGTGCATCACTTGAGGCCAGGAGGCCATCTCTACTAAACACCATCTCTACTAAAATAAAATAAAAAAAAAAATTAGCAGACATATGCCTGTAATCCCAACTACTTGGGAGGCTGAGGCAGGAGAATCGCTTGAACCCAGGAGGTAAAGGTTGCAGTGAGCTGAGATTGCACCACTGTACTCCAGCCTGGGTAACAGACCAAGACTCTGTCTCCAAAAAAAAAAAAGGAGATAAAATTATTTTCAAAATATAGATTGTTTAAATGCATTTCTGGTTTAAAGTTAAGTATTGTATCAAACTGTACTTAAAGTAAATGCTAAGTTACAAATGAACAAATAAATATTGAAGCATTGGTAACTTTAAATATATCCTATAGGCAAATTGAGAGAAGACTATGAGATACAGTCACTGAGGAACATGGAAATAAGAGAAACTCGGTTGCCCTTCAAGTTATCTCGTAAATTAAACCTGTGATAAAATAATGCCAAGTTTTGTTGAGAAAGAAAGGATAACTGAGTTGGAAGAAAACTTGATGTTAACATATAAAGATAATGTGTCTATCACAAACATGCATTCGTAAGCAATAAAAAATAGAAAAACAAAATTCATCGGGGACATTTCAACAGTGTTTCTTTGACTTGGATATAAATGGTGAAACATAGAAAGTCACCTAAATGGTCTTAGAGGAAATTTTTTTTTTTAAACTTAATTAGGAGGATGTCTCTTTTACATTGCTTTTCTTTGTGGACTGACTTCCTTCTCCTTGCTGCACTAGGCAACACAACCTCTCCTTTTTACCCTTATTGCTTACCTTGAACAAGTGTAGTGCTTCAATTTCAGCATACTGCCACTATTCCTACTCCCATTCAAAATTCTAAGAGAGAAAACTATTTTTTAAACTCATCATTTTGAACCAGAACCCACAGTGGTCATTAGATGGTCTCATCAGCCTGGGGATCAGTTGTTTGGGGTCAAGTGCTCACTGCTGGCCCCAGTAGCTGAGGCCCGTGGTTTGTGAAGAGATATAACTACTTAACAGCAGGAGAAATGGTAAAGGCAGATGTCATTAAGAATTGTTGGGGGCATGGCATGCAAAGATCAACATTCCCAATCGAGTTCCCACTCAAACCCTGTCCAGGGAAAAGTGTACCCTAGCCAAGATCAAGCCTGTCTTATTGTGATAGTGACAGGAGACAGACAAATTCCTAGGCAGACAGAAGCAGGTCTCCATTGATACCCAACCTTCAAACCAAAAACTGTTTAAAGCCTGAAAACCAAGCTGATGCTTCCAGATGGAGTTAATTACTGGAGTGAGAACTTCTATCTCTGTCTTCCTCACTGTCTCGCAATTGGTTCCTTCTAGATGATGCTTTTTAACCAATTGAATGGTGCTTTTTCCAAGAACACCTGTGGACCAAACGGCAGGCACTTGGTCATTCTAAACCCATAAAAACCCAGACTCAGCCTCACACCTGGCTACCCACTCTCAGGCCCCCTCTTGTGGCTGAGAGCTTTCCTTCTGTCACTCAATAAAATTCTTCTCTGCCTTACTCACTTTCTGGTGTCCATGCATCTTATTCCTCTTGGTCACGGGACAAGAACCTGGAACTCACCAAGCTGCAGGTGGCATGAATGAAAGAGCTGTGACACTCCTGGCTGGCTCACTGAGCTGTGTGGGCAGTGGAAAGAAAATACCTGTAATACGCTCCCACTCGCCGGACTACAGAAGAAAGAGAGCTGTGACAAGGTTTCACTTGCTGAGCTATGGGAATGAAAAGCTGCGACATTTCTTGGGAGCTCAGACCTCGAGACTCTTTGAGCAAGATTAACACCCCCTGGGGCCACATGATTGTTGGCATTTCTGAGTTTTTGGGTGTCATCACACATTTCCGTCATCTAGATGGTGGCAGCCATGTGGAAGCCGCTCACACCTGCCCAATCTAGCCATGGGCTGAGTGCAGAACCATGGTGGGTGTGGGATCCAGGCTGGGGCACAAGCCTGCCAGGCTGAGTGGGCTGAGCCCAGAGGGCCTGAGTGAGACCCGGGCAGAAGTGGTCACAGAGATTTCTGGCTGGCAAAGTGGCACTGAAGGAAACCTGTAACATTTTGAAAGGCAAGAATAATCCACACATATTGGAAGTCTGACTCATTATCTTCTTTAATCTCATGGCATCAAGCCCATACATCTAAAATTGATTTTTCCCATTCCAGCTTCATGCTTTCCCTACAAAGAATTGATTCTTCTCATTCTGACTTCATAAGTTCCTACAAACTTCTGATTATAATGTGTGTTCCTAGGTAGCTTATCTCCTTGAAGAAAAGATACTAAAAAGACAGCATGCTGGTCTGGTTCACTGGGCAGTTACATAATTTTATAAATTAAGAAATAGACATGCTTTTTACTAAACTGTTTCTTATAGTTTGTCATTTTTAATCAATGATATCAGTGCCTGTCAACTTTGAGAAACTGAAAAATTCAAGTCTCTGAGCCTGCAAAATTGAGTGCCAGATACTGCAATGGGACAAATTCATGAAGATAAATGCCAATAGGAGAGGCCCCTTGACAGTCATTTAGCAAGCTAACCTTCCCTAGCTGAGCAGCTTTCTTTTTCAGGTCTACTTTTCATTTTTCCTGATTTGTTTTATTAATGTGATCATTCAGAATACACATACCCTCCCCTATACATATGCACACACTTACATGTACAAATATATTCAAAAATACCTACTGTAAGGATTTGTTCCTTAGTTGTGAATACTAACCTTCAGGAAAATATTTATTTTTCTGAAAATTTTGTGGAAATAGATCCATTTTATAGCAAAAAGAAAATACATTTAGCTCCTTTTAAATTACTTATTATCACTAGCTATGAATAACACAATCAAACCGATGAATCTCTTCATAATATTTTACTATCACTTGGATGACCTTCCTTCTGAATACTGCACTAATTATTTCCTACAATGTAATAACTGCTGTAATATTGTTGGCAACTTTAAAACCAAACTTGGTTTGTTTCCTTTTTTCGTACCAAGGTATTAAAAGAAAGAGAATTGACAATTAGAGTTCTCTCTCTCTCTCACTCTGTCTCTCTGTCTCTCTCTCACTCTGTCTCTCTGTCTCTCTCTCTCTCTCTCTATATATATATATATCTTTAATTTTACTATTAATATTAGTTTAAATTATATGAAATTGTCAACATTCAAATTTTATGACCTACCAATGGAAATTGGATACTATTCAAACTATTAATCCCAGAATGCATTACATTTACAAAGATGGTGTTGTTGGGTACTCCCACTAGATTGCATTGTACTTCTTTTATGCAGAAAAAAGAAGTAATGTATTGAGTCTTGCCAGTTTCTTTGAGTGCTGCTTTACATTTCCAGTGATTAGATTGGTGCAAAAGTAATCACTGTTTTTTGTCATTACCTTTAATGGATTACCTTTGATGGCAAAAACCGTAATTACTTTTGCACCAACCTAATACATAGCACAGTGATTAAGAATGTTGAATCTGGAGGTGATCCAGGGACAAGTCCTGACAATATAGCTTAACATATACTAAGATAACATATTTTATCTTAATGTATGGATAACATATGTTAAGTTGTGAACTTAATATATTATGTACATACATTAATATATTATAAATATATTAATATCTAATATATAACAAATATATTAATAATACATAATATATTGGATATTGATAATATATACTATATTAATATAATTTTCTAGTATTATATAAATATATTTAATTTTATATTTAATAATATTAAGACAAATGTCAGCTATTATTAGTTATTCAAATACCATTTTTGTCTTCTAAAATAAACAATAAGAATCCTACTAGTCAGAAAGCTTCAAATATGTTGCAAATCCTTAGCTTCAGGATTATAATCTAACTCATAAGAATATGAGTGCAGATGCTTTTATGTAAAAGTGATAATCAAATGTGTAAGTGTGCTAATAACCTAAATGACATGCTCAGTCTAATGTAACACATAGTAATTAAGACCTGCTTTGTGTAAATTACTATTCTAAGTAACTGAGACATGAAAATGGTATTTTACAGAGAAGAAATATCATAAAGAATGAATTAGTTTTTCTAGGGAATGTTCAATTGGTAATGAATATTTAGTTTTTACTGTAAGCAAGAATGTGTATAGATTTATAACTGAAGAAGATAGGGAAACAATTTGAGGGCCATGCTCAAGAACCTCAAATAACTGAAACCTCAGCCAACATCTCACTACACAATTGACGCAAAGTAAGAACTGCCTTGCTGAGCCTAGTCAATCCACAGTGTCACGAGACATAACATATTGTTGTTTTAAACCACTAAGTTTAGAATTTTATTATTACTATATAGTGATAGATAGCAAGAGCGCAAACCAAATCTTTTCTTTTTTGCAGTAGCAGCAGCTGCAGCAGCAGCAAAGAAAAGCACTAATCAATAATCACAGTTATACTAATAACAATAGCAATAATGATATATATATATTTTTCTGTTGTACCTAAATATAGTTCCTGAAAGTTTTACTGAAATAAGGCCAAAAATCTTGTGAAGAATAAACTTTTGTTAAAATATTTACTTCAGCAGATGATCATGAATTTCACTTTGCCAAGAAGCTCTGTTTCAGCTTCCTATTGATTTCAAATCATTTGTGAAGCAGGTTAAGGAATAAACATCTCCTTTGGAAGTTTTCTACCTAATTCACTGTCTCTAATGTGCTGCTATAACCTAGTCCCTTACCGGATGTGGAAACTTGTGCTCGATGGATTTCTGCTCAAGAACGTCAGCTTCTATGCTGAGCAGTTATTCAGACCAGTCCCATGTCTATGGGAGAGTTAACTCAGCTTGTCTGTTTGTTTCTGCCTTTCCCTAGGGACCTCTTGATGATACAATCAGGTGATGTCCCTGATGAGTTGATCTTTTCCCCAAAATAGATCATGAATATCAGGGAAGGTAACAGTCTAAAAATAGGAAGAATGTTATTTGTAATAAATGGAGCTTTAAGTAGTATTTTAAAAGTATAAATGGAGTCAGTGGACTGCCTGGGGGAATTTTCTAATAATAAGAGCATTTTTTTTAAACTGAGAAAATTTTCTATGTTCTGTAAGGTAATAATGATCCACTTTTTAGTTTTCTCTCTCCTCTCTCCCTGTGTCTCATGCACGCGCACACAAACACGTACACATACACATACACACACACCACATACCTCTTACTATTTAACTAGTTTGACACATTAATTTAAAAAACATTAAAAGAAAATGTATTGAAATGTTTAGAAGCTAATACAAAATACTTTTTCTTTATTTTTAATGACATATAGGCTTATACTAGTTGACAGTAACTGGCAATTGTTTTGTGGTATTTTATTCCTGTATTTAAAGGGAACTAGTAGAACTTTAAACATATTGCAGGGCTTTCCAGAGAAAATAAATTTTCTTATGTTTCTAGTTATACACCTAGCACAGCTAAATAAACTTTGGGAGCATATATTTCTTCATGAATTTCTGAGAATTAGTATTATTTAAAGTAGATCTATGTGTCCTTTCTGGCTTCTATATTTTATCTTGGATTATTGTAGAATGTTAGGTAGTATTGATTTCCATTGTGAAATTGAATAACATTCTTAGCTTTGCTTCCTTCCTAACCAAATATATAAGAACTCTTGGGTAACCCTTCGAAGAAACCTAATATGCTAAATAGGGTAACAACAATTTATTTTAGCAAAAACAATGACATACAAATATAGAACTGTATAATAATTACCTGATTCTAGTCCCCACTTGCTTACAAATGATCATGTTTTTCTCTCTCCTTTTCTCTCTCTCTCCCCTGCTGCCCTTGTGCTAAATAGAGTTCAAGTCTTTCTATGCAGTTTGTTTTGTTTTTACACTAATTATCATAACCAGGTTCCATAGGACACTAATAAACCAATAGTTTCTTGCATTAAAAATGTTAGACATTTAAGGTTAGGTAATTTTCCATAGCAAGCTTTGGCTTTCTCATTCTAGTTGAAGAAAAAAAAAAATCAACTTCTCAGAGAATGCTGATGTTCTTATCCTCTGTTTTACTCTCCTCCTGCCTGCATTAGGAAGGGATTAAGAAAACTCATTCACAGTGGGAAGAATAAATAGAATATTGAAAAAAGCAAAAAGATCTTAACTCAGAATAGTTTGGTTTAGATGACCCATTTTAATTTTTTCTTGTACTATCTCTTTGGGACCCTGAGCTGAACCTTTTGCTCTTTATACCACATATATGTAAAGATTGATATGTATATATACAAGAATGTAATATGTAAAAATCATACGTATAAAAAGTAAAACCTTTTTTGCTCAGAAATATAAATTGTATTACAACTTCCTATTCAGCTCAAGAATAAAAAAGACAATCTTGTTGCCTCTAATAAATATATTGGATCAATATAGAATCATTTTGGCTTGGGTTTTAAACATGGTCCCTATTCAATTCAAAGCCTTCTCTTTGAAATCCATCTCCTTCCTTTTCACTGGGGCAGTGACAAATGTTGACTATTTTGTGTAGTATGATCATGTACCTATTTTGCCTGCATCCATGGGTGGGTATAAATAACAGGACTTTCTCTCCTAATCCTAACCTCTAGCAAATGTAACACCACTTGGTGGTTACTTGAGTCCATGGCCAGCCTTCCTTAAAACTTGCCTGGATAAATCACATCTCCTCAATGAAAAATCTTGATCTCTTCACTTTGAGCTTTGCCACTACTCAAGGCTGTCCTCCCTCAACCCCTGAAGCATGAAGTACTTCTGTAGGTTTTGCAAGTGGTAAAACTTCAGTCGTAAATCAAGATTATTCTCTATATTCAGAAATTATCCCCTACCTCTTTGGCAGCCTTCCACACCCCAAAAACCTACGGAGAAGACAGGGAAAGGATGCTATTTTTATTCTTTTTTTTTTTTAACACTGTTCTTCAAATTCTAATTTCATTTATCCAAGCTCTTATTATATACTTTGGTATCTAGTCTCCCTATAGGAAGCTGGGGTGTATAGGGAAAGAGAATTTAGAGCTATCCCTGATTTTCACATATTCTTAAATTCTTTTGTCTTCTACTTTCTTAGGTTGCTAGTGAATCTTGAAATTTACTGTCTCATGTCTTTATTCTTATCTGTTTGCATAAGCCGTGAATGTATGTGTGAGGTGGATGAGGAGACTAAGGAGTTTATGAAGCAGTAGTAGTATGTGTCCTTCTCATTCCATACCTCAAGTTATTGCTGCAAGTAAACATTTTGTATCTTACCTGTTTACAAAGATTTCCCATTATGGTAATAAATATCCTCTGGTGGCACACCTGAGAGCAAAATATGTCATAGATGTTTCAATTCTGGACCATCTATAATTACCAGAGCAAGGTGCGCCGTGTTCAGTATTTCTTTAGATGACTATTTATTGTACTATTCCAAAAAAATGGTGGTTTCCATGACAACCTTGTCTGCGGATAGTTTCAGAATAGCCTTTTACAGCTTTAGAATCATGAATATTTTTATCCACTTGGAGAAAAAGGAAGCAAAACAGGTTTCACAATTAATTTATTCAATATCAAGAACAACTGTTTCTCTTCAAGCTACCTTTCACATACAAAAAATATCATTAACAATAAGCTCTCGCTTTATAGGGGAGAGAGCAAAAGGGAGAGAGATTCTTCTGACTTCTCCCAAAAGATGGCAGCTGTTCTCTGAATTAAAATTTTTCTGTTTCCTTAAAAAGCACACTGTATCTGAGTGAAATGTTATAACAAAAAAAAAATCTGATGTCTCAAGTAAGTGTTCCTGGAATATGCTCATATTTGTATGTATGGGAGATTTATACTGTAGTTTTTCCTTTTGTTTAATGAGCATTTATTAAGCATCGTCTTATAATAAGCACTGTGGGGTTCCTAGAAGTAGACAGATGAATGTGACACTGTTACTGCCCTGTGATAACAAAATATCTGAGAGTGGAGTAGATGATTCATGAAAGGCCAAGATACCATGATGATTGCTGACAAGATGGGGCATGATGGGAACAGAAAGGAGGTATATCACCCAATATGAGAGTACAGGGAAGTCTTCTTGAAGGGACTCTAATATAGCTGAGCATTTAGTGATGAGTAAGAAAATTTCATCAAGTAGAAAAAGGGTGGGAAAGATGTTTCAAGTTCAGGGATAGAATGAAATACCATCTGAAAAGATAAGGTATGTTTGATAGGAGAAACAATTACTATTACCGTAAGATGAAATGTCAGTAAATTAGCAGATGAGGCAGAAACGTTAAGTAAGGTTTTAGAAAGATAAAGATAAGAAAATATTAATGTGTGATAATTGAATACAAACAAATACCTTTAAAGATTTTTTAATTGCTGCTGATAACAGATCTGGTGAGTTTTAGGAAATGCCAAGTAAACTATTTTCAGTTTAATGAACACTTTTTATGAGGCTACTTTTAGAGTGGCACAGAATAGTGATTACAGTAGTTGCATCCTTTACATATAACATCATGAAAAAGTAAAAGCACTGCTCAATCACCTAAGGCACTCATAGAGTCCCAGGGTGAATTCTGAATGTTCTTTTTCTCCACTGATGTATGCCAACTTCTGCAAATGAATGAGATTATGAAGTGTTCCCTTAAATTTGCAACTTGCCTTCCAAAAAGTGGCAAAAGGCAGCCAATTTAAAAAGCCTTAATGTTTATACTGTAAGTTTGTATACATGTATGTTCTCTGACATTTTCTCAACAAAAAGGCAAACATAAAAGTAAAAATATACAAAATAAATAAAAATAACATGTGATATAGCTATGACCAGGACCATAAACCGAGGGACGATTGCCATCACCACTAAGAAAGTCACTGCCTAGATCCATTAGAGTTAAGCAGGAATATTTCACTAGGGCACTGCATGGTGACTCAAGTTGCCACTAATTTGCTCCATGAAAACTACAGTGAACGCTTTTTATAAAATGAAGACTTGGCTTTTATTGAATGGAGCTGGAAATAGTCCCTGCTACTTTTAAGGTTCATTATCTTCATTTGTAAAATGGAGGAATTAAAATAGATAATTTACAAATTACACAGAAGAAAATGGGCAATCTAATGTTCTTAAAACTCTCAGTAATTCAGATGTACTTTGAATGCACTTAATTTCTTCAGGCACTTTCCACTGTGTGTCCTAATTCACTCCTTAGAAAAACATTCTGGCTGTTGTGTTACCTCCATGACAACTGTGCTTGTTACTACTTTACTTAAAGACGTCAAGACCCATCAGTGGTTTCTCTTTTCTTCAGACTTTTTAATTAGTTTATTAAATCTTTGAACCACCTCTCTAGAGCTGAGAAATTTCTGCTTCTGCAATTTATCCGTTCTTCGTCAATTACTTGCTATAGCCTTTATTAGAGTGTTAGTCTTCTGGGTGCCTCGGAAGTCTAGTAAGGTTCATTAATAGGAACAACAAACGTTTTCACTACATTTCACTCTCAGTAACAATATTTGAAATATTTTATTATGAGGTTAGTGCAAAAGTAATCATGATTTTTGTCATTACTTTTAATGATTAGGAAACAATAATGAAAAAATAGAAGAAAAATACTTTAGATCAAGAACTCAAAAGTATCTCTCTGGAAAGTCCCTGTGTTGAATAATGTCACAGATTATTATGAAAATCAAGAGTTTACATACATCTAATATATATCAATAAATATGCAAGATATTTATATGCCTTACATAAGTAATACTCAAAATATACTGGAGATGTTAAGTGGAATATAGATTTTTGTTTTCTTTTGTATTGTTTGGTTTAAATGAACGAGGAGACTGCAATTCAAAGAGATTGAAAACTTGCCTTGTTGTACATAGCTAAGACAGGTCCCAGCAAAGATTCAAATAAAGATAATTCAGACTCCAGAGCTTAAACTCACAGCTTTTTCTATTTTTTTCTAACTGCGTTACCACAGTGAGAAAATTTTGCACAAAAATTTTTGCTGGGTTTCTCTTTTTCCTTATGACATTTTACTTTAATGAATGTCTATATTTCACTACAAGAATTCAGACAAACAGCATTTTTCATGGAAGTTTCATGCCCTAGGCTCTGAAATGATTTGAGGCCACATTATTCTCCTTCAGGGTTTGGTTTGAGAGCCATTCCCATGATGACGTACTTTGATGTACATTAAATTTATTCTGTTTTTCATGCTATTTTCTGATTTATCTTAACATTGCCACTAGTTCTATTTTAATTAATTGTGTCTGGAAGTATTCTTAGGGACTCTCCAGAAAAGTGCTTTCTCAGAACTCAAGTCACATTATTTTCTATGCCAAATTGAATAGGAAATCAAAAGATACGTGTTTGGTCTGTGGGCTGGCACTAATTAGCTGTGTATACCAACCTGAAAAAAAGTCACTTAGCTTCTGAAATTTCCTTACTTCATTTTTAATATGACTGAACATGAAAATTCCTAACTTCCTTTCCAGTCTCAGTATTATGTAAATCTATGAGATTTTCCTTATACTTAGCCTCCTCTATACAGTGTCACATAATCTAGTTCTAAGCCCCTGTCCAGAAGTCTGAGGGATTTTCCCCTAAAGAACTGTCCTTTTACATTCACAGAGAAGACAATCTTGGTATGATTTCTACAACCATCAACACACTCCCCTCCCAACCCCAGCACACTTCTCTTAAATTTGTTCTTTGTTTAAAAAGATAAGACACTGCAAGAAATATTTATGATGACTCATCCTTCCTCAGTAGAGTGGATTAACCTGTAGTTGTCAAATAACTAAGGTTGGACAAATCAGATTTCTTTGACAAATTCATTTGGGATTGGAATTCAAACAAAGCCAGGTAATATAAATATTTTAGGTTTTCTGGATTGTATTAATTCACTCCCTCCTTCAGTCCCAGTCACGCTTGTCTTTGTGATTTCTTAAACATACTAAATATACTGGCACCTCAGAGCCTTTGCTTTGTACATAGCTCTGCCAGTGAGGCATTTCCTTCAAATGTACACATAGTTTACTCATTTTCAGAGAAGGATTCCTTCACCATTTATTTAGACTATCACTTCTCACTCCATAAAATTCCCTCCTGTATCCATATGTAATTTTTCTGCATAGAACTCAAAAACTTATTCTTCTAGTATCTTCCTCCCTTCTGTATAATGTAAGCTTCATGTAAGGTGATAGCACCATCTCCTGTGGTTTGCCTGTCTAACTCTCTTAGTAAATAAGAACTCTCTTTAAACCTCCTCAATGCCAGAACTCTGACTATGACACGGCACCTTTGAAGACTTTTAGTCAACTAAGTATCTGATAATGTGTCAGTATTCACATGAGCCTTCTTAATTGAAATTATTTAATTCTATTTATTAAGTGGAAACTACATAATGGACCAAAACTGGTCCATCAGAGTCATTTTTTCCTCAAATTAAAGCGGAGAGTGTTAAAGGCTCGGAATTGGGACTGGAGTCTTGGCAAAGAGAAAGCTCTTGAGACAGTGTTTTTCATCTAGATACTGAGTTACCCACCATTACACTTATTCACCTACTCATTAATTAATTCCACAAATATCAGTTAAACACTAATAGTTTGCCAGGAGTTGTATTGTATACTCTTGATACCATGATGAAAATAAGACATGATTCTTCCTGTCAAGGAAGTGATGACTTATTAAGGATTATTAAGTTATAAAAAGAAAGCAAATATAAATGATGGCTTTAGTGCATGATAAGAGAATTAGACTGAAGTAAAGGGGAGCTTTGAGAGTAGAGCAAGGGGTCAGACAGAGTTCTGTAGTCTAAATCAACATTAAAGTGTGAGAAGGAGTGAGCCACATAATTGGCAAGAGGGAATATGAGGGATGGGTTATTCAGGACAGGAAATACAACGACATAGAAAAACTGAGAACGGTTCAATCTCTAGTTTTGGAATAAAGAGCCATTAAAATTTTATACAAGGAAATGACAATAGATTTGCACTTAGGAAAATAACTCAAGTAGCAAGAGAAGAAACAGTATTAAATGACAGGAAAACTGAACTGACAGAAAAAGACAAGTTAGGAGGCTTTTGTGTGCATTCAGGGAAGAAAGAGGTTGACATGTACTAGATATCAATGGTGTCATTGAATGTTTGTGACAGGCTGAACTTAAAGATATGATGAAGGATAAAGAAAAACAGAGTATCAAGGACAACACCCAGGAATTTTAGTGTGTTCATTCAGGGGAGAATGGTGTTGCTCACCTTACTGACATACAGAAGGAAGATAATCATGTTTGTTTTGTCTGAGGCCTGGGGAGAGAACAGTTTATTTATTGGGTTTAGACAAACTGTAGCATTATATCTGAATCCTGCCTTTAGAAATCTAGAAAGCAAGCAAAGGGCTGACTGGTTTGGCAGCCAGAAGAGTGCAGAAGCACCTGCACCATATCTTAGAGACGGTAGGGTCAGGATGTAGTGAGTGTTGCCACAAAAGAAAGTGTAGATCACTCAGGAGAAAGAATCACAGTGGGGTAGTCTTGGGTCATCCAATTGAAAGGCCTGGACTTTGAGGTCAGAGACAGTGGGCACTTGGGGAGCTCCAGGACAGAGAATATACATTCCACCAAAGAACCTTTCTGATAGAGTATGCATTCTGCTGGTGAGATACAGATAGAGAGCAGGATTACCCCATCACATCATTTTCCAGTTGGAAAACAGCCTGGAGTAGGTGTGGGCTTCCAATCTGAAGTGGCCTGAACAAGGGAAAGGGGAAAAAATAACATTAATTTAATTTTTATTTTGAATAACATTTTGTATGATGTCCAGTTATTGAAATGAGACGTTGATTGTTACATAACAAAACTGGAGGACTGTTTCTTACCTCAGAATTAACAGAGTAGAGCTATTGGAATTTCAGCAAATAAAAGAAATTATTCTAACTGGATAAAGTCAAAAGAAAGAGGGAGAGCGACTCGAATCAAGTTTTGATCTACAATAGGACATTTCCACATATTATTTCTTCTGCCAGGAATGTTCTTTCCTTTGTCACTTGCATGGTTGGCTTTTTGAGAATTCAGTATCAGTTAAGAACATGGGCCACTGAAAATGTCTTTTCCAGCTGGATGCGGTGGATCACACCTGTAATCCCAGCTCTTTCTGAGGCCTAGGCAGGTGGATCACTTGAGGTCAGGGTTTGAGACCAGCCTGGCAAACATGGCAAAACCACGTCTCTACTGAAAATGTAGAAATTAGCCTGGCGTGGTATCATGTGCCTGTAATCCTAGCTACTAGGGAGGCTGAGGCAGGAGAATTGCTTGAACCCAAGGGGCGGAGGTTGCAGTAAGCCGAGATCATGCCACTGCACTCCAGCCTGGGTGACAGAGTGAGATTGAGTCTCAAAAAAAAAAAAAAAAAAAAAAAAGCCTTTTTCTAGCTTCTGCCAAAAATATTGATAGATATATATTGATAGATGAAGAAAAAGGAAAAAGATGGCTTGGAAGAGAGAGAGAGAGCGACCAATCCACTTAGTGTTTTATTTATTTTCATATGGTATGTCACATTTTGTAAGTACATGTTTGTTTGTGTTGTGTAACTACTCCACTAGGCGGTAAGCTTCATGAAGGCACGAACTTTGTCCTTTCCGCATATATTGTTCACCTTGCACCAAGCTCAGTACACATGGTCACTCATTTGATATTTTCAGAATAAAAGAATTAATATTCTGGGATGTGCAATGAATTACTAGAATATTGACTTTCTCGGCCGGGCGCGGTGGCTCACGCCTGTAATCCCAGCACTTTGGGAGGCCGAGACGGGCGGATCACGAGGTCAGGAGATCGAGACCATCCTGGCTAACATGGGGAAACCCCGTCTCTACTAAAAATACAAAAAAATTAGGCAAGCATGGTGGCGGGCGCCTGTAGTCCCAGCTACTCGGGAGGCTGAGGCAGGAGAATGGCATGAACCCGGGAGGCGGAGCTTGCAGTGAGCCGAGATCGCGCCACTGCACTCCAGCCTGGGCGACAGAGCGAGACTCCGTTTCAAAAAATAATAATAATAATAATAATAATAATTGAATTTCTCAATAATGACACAAAATCATGTTTCAAATATTTTATGTTTGCTATAGATTATAAAATCATGTTTCATAAGGTCATGTTTCAAATAATGATTTTACTGTATATACAGTATTCTGCAGTTTTTCTCATTGTTATATGTTAAACATTTCTCAGGGGAAATTTTATTGAACACTATTATATGTAAAATATACTTTGTGATATGTCAGAAATTCCTTCTTAGTCAAAACAATTGTATGATTAAGATAATGAAAGTTTTTGTAGGTCATAAAACTATGGCTTATAGAGATTAAGTAATAAGCTTAACATTACATAGCTAGCAAATAGCTGTGTTGAAATATGAATCCAGTTCTGACTTAAACATCCATGTTCTTTGCCAGTAAGCTACAAGGTTCCATGTTAGCAGTGAGTATCACATCTCTGACTGAAAGGAGTGAGTTTAAGATCTCGAGTTTTTATTTTTTTACACATTTCCTAAATTTTTCTTAATGGTTAAATATTACGTTTTATTTCAGGAGGAAATAAGTGTTGACTAAAAAAAAAAAAAAAAAAAAAAAAACCTAAATTTTGTGTAAAATAATAATGATATTGTTAGATTTTAGATGTTTTTACCCTCCTTATGAAGACCGACATTTTAAAGTCTGTTGGTGGTATTACTTAGCTTAATTGTCCTTCTGTATCATTTGACATAAATTTAAAAAGACCAAATCATTTTAAGGATCCTCGTTCAGTTAGCTTTATCAATATTTTTTAAATTTCGAAATATTTATGTGTAGAAGACTATTAGGAAGTTTATTACATGAAGCATATTAATCAAGAATTCAAAAATGTACGCTTTAGTCACATAAATGGATTATTCATTTTAAATACATAGTTTGTGCATTTGAATTTATGAAAATGTTCCTAATATAGAATTAAAAGCCATTGTAGGTGGACATTAATCTATAGTAATTAGATTTGTTTTGTGCAGTGTTATACGTTAGCAATATTGAAATTTGTTTCTGTGTATTTTATTTATTTTACTGTGTTATGAATATATAATATCTCTACCAATTTATGGGGTACATGTGATATTTTGTTACATGTGTAAAATATGTAATGATTATGTCAGGGTATCTGAAGTGTCCATCAACTTGAAAATTTATGATTTCTATGTGTTGAAGACATTTTAAGTCCTCTCTTCTAGCTATTTTGAAACATACAACACATTGTTGTTAATTGTACTCATCCTACTAATCTATCAAACGCTATGTCTTATTTTTTCTGTCTAACCCTTCCTGGTAACCTGTTCACTCTCTGGTAACCAACAATCTATTCTCTAACTTCATGAGATCCACTTTTCTTAGCTCCCACATATGAGAGGGAACATGTGATATTTTTCTTTTTCTGCCTGGCTTATTTCATTTAACATAGTGACCTCTAGTGTTACAAGCATTGAAAATGACATGATTTTATTCTTTTTTAAAGTATTCTAATGTATATACATACCACATTTTCCTAAACCATTCATTCATTTCTGAACACTTAGACTGATCTATATCTTTGCTGTTATGAATAGGGCTTCAACAAAAATGGGAATGTAGGTATCTATTTGATATACTGACTTTTTTTCATTTGGATAAATACCTTGTAATGGGATTGCTGGATCATATGGCAGTTCTAGTTTTTGGTTTTTTTATTTTTTTTTAAATCCATACTATTTTTCATAGTGGTTGTACTAATTTACTTTCCCATCAATAGTGTGTAAGAGTTACCTGTTCTCCATATTCTTACTAGTCACTTTTATTTTCTTTTTAATAATTGCCATTCTAACTGGGATAAGATGCTATCTTGTGGTTTTTGATTTGCATTTCTCTGATGACTGTTGATGTTGATGATGTTTTTTCATGTCCTTGTGGGTGATTTGTATGTCTTCTTTTGAAAAAATGTCTATTCATGTCCTTTGCCTGCTTTGTAATGAGATCATTCCTTTTCTTTTTTGCTATTGAGTTGCTTGAGTTCCTTGCATGTTCTGGATGATAGTCCTTTGCTGGATGAATAGTTTGCAAATATTTTCTCCAATTTAACCTGCTGTTTCTTTACTCTCTGATTGTTTCCTTTGCTGTGCAGAGGCTTTTTAGTTTGATATAGTACCATTTATCTATTTTTTGGAGGGTGGCTGTATTTTTAAGGTCTTAGCCATACATTATTTGTCTAGATCACTGTTCTGAACTCTTTCACCTATTTCTCTTATGGTAGTTTTATAATTTTGGTCCCTCTAAAATTATAATTCATATTGAGTTGATTTTCTTATATGATGACAAAGGAGGGTCCATTTTCATTCTTTTTCACATGGATATCTAATTTTACTAGCACCACTTACTGAAGAAGGTTTTCTTTTCTCAAGGTATCTTCTTGATGTCTTTGTCAAAAATCAGTTGGCTATAAATATGTAGATTTATTTATAGGTTCTCCTAGATAATGTCCCATGTGCTGAGGAGAATAATGTGCCTTGTGTAGCTGTTATAATAAATGCTCTGTATATGTCTGTTAGGTACATTTTGTCTAAAGTACTGTTTAAAGCCAATGTTTCTTTGTTAATTTTCTCTCTCTTTTTTTAAAATTATACTTAAGTTCTGGGATACATGTGCAGAAGGTGCAAGTTTGTTACAAAGGTATACATGTGCCATGGTGGTTTGCTGCACCCATCAACCCATCATCTGCATTAGGTATTTCTCTTAATGTTATCCCTTCTCTTGCCCCCCACCCCCCAACAGGTCCTGGTGTGTGATATTTCCTCCCTATGTCCATGTGTTCTCATTGTTCAGCTTCCACATATGAGTGAGAACATGTGGTGTTTGGTTTTCTGTTCCTGTATTAGTTTGCTGAGAATGATGGTTTCCAGCTTCATCCATGTCCCTGCAAAAAACATGAACTCCTACTTTTTTATGGCAGCATAGTATTCCATGGTGTATCTGTGTCTCATTTTCTTTATCCAATTTAACATTGATGGGCATTTAAGTTGGTCCCAGGTCTTTGCTGCTGTGAATAGCGCTGCAGTAAACATATGTGTGCATGGGTCTTTATAGTAGAATGATTTATAATCCTTTGGGTATATACCCAGTAATGGGATTGCTGGGTCAAATGGTATTTCTATTTCTAGATCTTTAAGGAATAGCCACACTGTCTTCCACAATGGTTGAACTAATTTACACTCCCAGCAACAGTGTAAAAGTGTTCCTATTTCTCCACATCCTCCCAGCATCTGTTGTTTCATGATTTTTTAATGATCACCATTCTAACTGGCATGAGATGATATCTCATTGTAGTTTTAATCTGCATTTCTCTATGACCAGCGATGATAAGCTTCTTTTTAAAATATATGTTTGTTGGCCGGATAAATGTCTTCTTTTGGGAGGTGTCTGTTCATATCCTTTGCCCACTTTTTGATGGAGTTGTTTGCTTTTTCTTGTAAATTTGTTTAACTTCCGTGTAGATTCTGGATATTAGCCCTTTGTCAGATGGATAGATTGCAAAAATGTTCTCCCATTCTGTAGGTTGCCTGTTCAGTCTGATGATAGTTTTGTTTTGTTTTGTTTTTGTTTTTGTTTTTGCTGTGCAGAAGCGCTTTAGTTTAATTACATCCCATTTGTCAATTTTGGCTTTTGTTGCAATTGGTTTTGGTTTTTTACTAATGAAGTGTTTGCCCATGCCTATGTCCTGAATGGTATTGCTTAGATTTCCTTCTAGGGTTTTTATGGTTTTAGGTCTTACATTTAAATCTTTAATCCATCCTGAGTTAATTTTTGTATATGGTGTAAAAAAGGGGTCCAGTTTCAGTTTTCAGCATATGGCTAGCCAGTTTTCCCAACACCATTTATTAAATAGGGAATCCTTTTTTCATTGTTTGTTTTTGTCAGGTTTGTCAAAGATCAGATGATTGTAGATGCTCAGCATTATTTCTGAGGCCTCTCTTCTGTTCCATTGGTCTCTATATATCTCTTTTTGTACCAGTACCATGCTGTTTTGGTTACTGTAGCCTTGTAGTATAGTTTGAAGTCACGTAGCATGATGCCTCCAGTTTTGTTCTTTTTGCTTAGGATTGTCTGAGCTATATGGGCTTTTTTTGGTTCCACATAAAATTTAAAGTAGTTTTTTTCTAATTCTGTGAAGAAAGTCAGTGGTAGTTTGATGGGAATAGCATTGAATCTATGAATTACTTTGGGCAGTATGGCCGTTTTCACAGTATTGATTCTTCCTATCCATGAGCATGGATTGTTTTTCCATTTGTTTGTGTCCTCTCTTATTTTCTTGAATAGTGATTTCTAGTTCTCCTTGAAGAAGTCCTTCACATCACTTGTAAGTTGTATTCCTAGGCATTTTATTCTCTTTGTAGCAATTGTGAATGGGAGTTCGCACATGATTTGGCTCTCTGTTTGTCTATTATTTTTATATAGGAATGTTTGTGATTTTTGCACATTGATTTTGTATCCTGAGACTTTGCTGACATTGCTTATCAGCTTAAGGAGTGTTTAGTCTGAGACGATGGGTTTTTTTAAATATACAGTCATGTCGTTTGCAAACAGAGATGATTTGATTCTTCTCTTTCTATTTCAATGCCCTTTATTTCTTTCTTTTGCTTAGTTGCCCTGGCCAGAACTTCCAATACTATGTTGAATAGAAGTGGTGAGATATGGCATACGTGTTTTGTGCTGGTTTTCAAAGGGAATGCTTCCAGCTTTTGCCTATTCAGTATGATATTGCTTGTGGGTTTGTCATAAACAGCTCTTATTATTTTGAGATATGTTCCATCTATACCTAGCTTATTGAGTGTTTTTAGCATGAAAGGGTGTTGAATTTTATCAAAGGTCTTTTCTGCATCTATTGAGATAATCATGTGGTTTTTGTCATTGATTCTGTTTATGTGATGGATTACATTTATTGATTTGCATACGTTGAACCAGCCTTGCATCCCAGGGATGAAGCTGACTTGATCGTAGTGGATAAGCTTTTTAATGTGCTGCTGGGTTCGGCTTGCCAGTATTTTATGGAGGATTTTTGCATCGATGTTCATCAGGGATATTGTCCTGAAATTTTCTTTTTTTGTGTGTTTCTGCCGTGTTTTCATATCAGAATGATGCTGGCCTCATAAAATGAGTTAGGGCATTACATAATGGTAAAGGGATAAATGCAACAAGAAGAGCTAACTATCCAAAATATATATGAACCCAATACAGGAGCACCCAGATTCACAAAGCAAGTTCTTAGAGACCTACCAAGAGACGTAGACTCCCACACAATAACAGTGAGAGACTTTAACACCCCACTGTCAATATTAGACAGATCAATGGGACAGAAAATTAACAAGGATATTCAGGGCTTGAACTGAGCTCTGGACCAAGCAGACCTAATAGACATCTACAGAACTGTCCACCCCAAAGAAACAGAATATACATTCTCCTTGACACTACATAGCACTTATTCTAAAATCAGCCACATTATTGGAAGTAAAACACCCCTCAGCATATTCAAAAGAACGGAAATCATAGCAGTCTCTCAAACCACAGTGCAATCAAATTAGAACTCAGGATTAAGAAACTCACTCAAAACCTCACAACTACATGGAAAGTGAATAACATACCCCTGAATGGCTACTGGGTAAATAATGAAATTAGGACAGAAATAAATAAGTTCTTTGAAACCAATGAAAACAAAGACACAATGTGCCACAATCTCTGGGACACAGCTAAAGCAGTGTATACGGGGAAAATTATAGCACTAAATGCCCACAGGAGAAAGTAGGAAAGATCTAAAATTGACACCCTAACATAACAAATAAAAGAACTAGAGAAGCAAGAGCAAACAAATTCAAAAGCTAGCAGAAGACAAGAAATACCTAAGATCAGACCAGAGCTGAAGGAGACAAAGAGATGAAAAACTCTTCAAAGATCAATAAATCCAGAAGCTGTTTTTTTGAAAAGATTAACAGAATAAATAGACTGCTAGCCAGACTAATAGAGAAGAGAGAATAATCAAATAGATACAATAAAAAATGATAAAGGGGATATCACCACTGATCCCAAAGAAGTACAAACTACGATCAAAGAATAATATAAACACCTCTACACAAATAAACTAGAAAATCTAGGAGAAATGGATGAATTCCTGGACACATACACCCTCCCAAGACTAAACCAGGAAGTCAAATCCCTGAATAGACCAATAACAAGTTCTGAAATTGAGGCAGTAGTTAATAGCCTACCAACCCAAAAAAGCTCAGGACCAGACGGATTCACAGCCAAATTCTACCAGAGGTACAAAGAGGAGCTGGTAACATTACTTTGTTATTTTTCTGACTACATGATGTGCCTAATGTTGAGAGTGTGATATCCAAGTCACCATCACTTATTCTATTAGAGTCTATTTCTCTCTTTATATCTAACAATATTTGCTTTGTATATCTAAGTAGTCTAGTGTGATTGCATATATGCTTAGAATTGTTATATCCTCTTGTTGAATTAATCCCTTTATGTTATAGTGATAAAGATAATTTTATAATTATCTCTCTTTTATTTTGTATTTAATGTCTGTTTTATTTGATATAAGTATAGTTACTCTCTGCTCGCTTTTGGTTTCCATTAGTATAGAATACTTTTTATGTTCCTTTGCTTTCAATCTGTTTGTATCTTTATAGGTGAGATGAGTTTCTTGTAGGCAGCATATAGGTGAATCATGTGTTGTTTTCTCCATTTAGCCATTCTATAATTTGTAACTGGAAAGTTTATTTCATTTACATTCAAGTTATTGCTGATATGTAAAAGCTTATCCCTGTCATTTTATTAATTGATTTCTGTTTGTTTTGTGTATTATTTTTTGCTTTCTTTCTCTCTTATTGTTTATCTTTGTGGTTTGGTAGTTTTCTTTAACATTTGAGCCCTTTCTCATCACCAATTCAAAAAATTGTGTATTTACCCTGTGAGTGGATTTTGTACTTTTCTATTTTCAAGATATTAGATATCATCCTTTTGCTTCCATGTGTAGAATTCCCTTAAGCCTTTCTCGTAGGGCCAGTTTAGTGGTGATGAATGGCCTCAGCTTTTGCTTGTCTGGAAAAGACTTTATATCTTGTTCATTTATGAAGGATAACTGTGCTGGATGTAGTATATTTGGTTGGTATGATATTTTTTCTTTTAATATATCATCCCATTCTTTCCTGGTTTGGAAGTTTCCTGCTGAGAAATCTGTTGTTAACCTGATAGAGTTCCCTTATAAATGACTGGATATATTTCTCTTGCTGTTTTTAGAATTCTCCCGTTGTCTTTGACTTTTGACAGTTTGACTATAATATCCTGGGGAGGAAACCTCTTTGAATTGTGTCTATTTGGGGGTTTCTTAGCCTCCTGTATGTGAATGTATAAACATCTTGCTAGATTGGGAGGATTTTAGCTATTATGTTGTCAAAAAGACTGTATATCCATTTAGTTTTCTTTTAGACTTTTCGGACCCCTAAATTCAAATATTTGGGTGCTTTATGGTATCCTGTATGTCATATAGATTTTGTTCATTTTCTTATTTTAAATTTTGTTTGACTGGACTATTTCAAAAATAAATGCTAAGGCATAGGGCTAGAGTTGAGCTGGGCCTGGCAAGCTTGTCATCAGGGCTCCAGTGGTGCATGGCAGAGCTGACTATGACAGGCAGGGGCAGAATGATCCCTAGGCCCTCAGCAAAATGCTCAGGCAGGGTTTCTGTAGCTACACTGCAGCTCTGATAGAGGTTTTGTTTTCAGTGGCAGCAGCCACTGCTCAGGGAGCATGCATTTCAACCTCAGTTGGTGGTTATAAGCAGGGTAGCCTGTCCTCAGGGAATTTACAATGCATGTTTGCTCTGCTGTTTGGGGGAAGCAGGGTCAATGCCATTGGTTTATGCTTTGGTCCCAGCAGCAGCAGGAATGTGAGGCTCCTGGGATGTGGAAATGCAGGGTCTATTGGGCTTCAAGGCAGGAAGCAGTATGGTGTGGGCTGGGCTCCCAGAATGGCATGTTTATGTGGCTGCTTAGGAACTGGGGATTGTGTGGGACCCAGTGTGACCTCTTTCTCTGGAGCAATGTCATTTCACATTCTCCAGGCAGCTCCCTATGTAAGTCTCAGGGCCCACAGGGTTGAGGGGCTTTCTCATGGCTAAGATTGCAGGTGTCTGTAGTGGGAATGTAGACCTTTGTGGATCACTCATTTTCCTTTCCCTATACTGGAGAGTCTCTCTGGGCTCCCAGCTGATTCCAAAAGAGTAGGCTATTTCACTTCCCTCTCCTTTCTTGTTTTAGGCATTTCCTGGCAATTCTCTGTTAAAGTCCATGGTTCTCTCTTAGATGATCTATTTGAAGTGTGATTCCTCAATGTTTTGGTTATTCTTTGTGCAAGAGATGAGTACCCAGTACCTCTAGTCAGGCATTTCACAGCCCCTCATTTTCAGTGTATTTTAGACTTGAGGAAATGAATTAATATTTTAAAAATAGTGGGAGCTGGCCCAGAGCGGTGGCTGACGCCTGTAATTCCAGCACTTTGGGAGGCGGAGGTGGGTGGATCATGAGGTCAGGAGTTCGAGACCAGCCTGGCCAACATAGTGAAACCCCATCTCTACTAAAAATATAAAAAATTAGCTGGATAGATGGTGGTGGGCACCTGTAATCCCAGCTACTCGGGAGACTGAGGCAGGAGAACCGCTTGAACCCAGGAGGCAGAGGTTGCAGTGAACCGAGATTGTACCATTGCACTCCAGCTGGGTGACTTGGTGACAGTGTGAGACTCCATCTAAAAAAAAAAAAAGTGTGAGCTATGTTTTCCATGTTTGTAAAGAGAGTTGGAAACAGAAAGAGCAAAGACTAGAATGTGTCCTCTGGTGTTGAGTGGCAATTGGAGGTATCAATATGACATTTATGATACATGGAAATAAATATGAGAACTATAGACACTGAGGACTACTAGAGTGCAGAGGGAGGAGCTGGGTTAAGAAAACTACCTATCTGGTACCATGCTCACTACCAGAGTGATGGGATCCCTACCACAAACCCTGGCATCAGATAATATTCCCATAAACAAAGCTGCACATGTAATTCCTGCATCTAAAATAACATTAAAAAAACACACAGATGCTAATACTAGTGGGAAAAAGTTTGATGATGAGCAGGAAATATGTAGAGTGTCAAAGTATCTTCCAAGAAAATACTTAATATTGAAAAAAAAAAGTAAGTTTACAATGGTGAAACCTGGAGGATACTTAGATCATCTGAATGATCTAAACCAACATCATTAGTATTGAGAGAACCTACATCAGACACCTCTGAGAAGATTCACTGAGAGACACAGTCTCCCTTCAGTAGTATTATTGCCCAAAATACTTGACCTCATTCTAATTGGGAAGAAACAGTAGAATAACTGAAAATTTTTTACAAAACAATTGGCCTGTTATCTTAAAAAAAAAAAAGTCATTTTCAGGAAATACAAAGGCTGAGAGACTGTTTCAGATTTAAGGACACTAGTTATAATAATTTAATAAAAAGTGTGATTTTGGTTTGGATAGAAGGCTCAAAAATTGATGACATTTCCATATGGACTCTGGATTAGATAATAGTATCATAACATTGTTAAATTTTCTGATTTTGATAACTATATCGTGGTTAGGTAAAAGAATGTCCTTTTTAGGAATATTCATTTAAATTTTTAAAGGGAAAGACATATATTTCTACCTTCTCTTACAAAGTTCAGAAAAAATATAACATATATATATATATACATGCTTATATACGTGTGTGTGTGTGTTTGTGCATGTGTGTTCATAAAATACTAAAACAAGTGAGGAAAAATGTAAACAATTCATGACTCTGGGTAAAGGGAAAATAGGATTTCTTGTACTATGCTTGCAAAATTCCCTGTGTTTTGAAATTACATCAAAATTAAAAGTTATAAATTAATTATAGATTTTTGAAAATAAGACTCTATTTTAAAATACTGGCTCAAAATTTGCCCTTGTAAAAGAAAATATTTTAAACACACAACACAGGTTTATTTTTTAAAGATCTTACAATGATGATAAAGATTTTTCTTCAGATCATAGTTACCATAAAAAAGGGTACCTGTTTCTCTCTTCCTTAAAATCTACTCAAAATTGGTAAAAGCTGAAAAAGAAAAAAAAATACACAATTCAGTATCAGCTTATGTGGTTTACTGTTAATTCAGAATTCTTCACAAATATTTTAAAAGGATCTAGTTCATTGCCAATAGGAATTATTATTAACAATGGGCTTTCATAAGAAAATAATCTAAAATGTCAATTTAAAATCAATTTATTCCAACTCAAGTCATGCTAATATTTAACATTGCTTAAACTTTAGGCTTTAGATATGCTTTTTAAAACAAAGACTACACATTTTTATCTGATTTTAAGCATGCAATATCTGCAAATGTAAAATATATATTTGTGGAGACAGTTGGTAATTTTAAACCTAGTGAAAAAATGGTTAACTATTTAAAAATAAAATAATGATAAGAAAATTATAGGTATGTAGTAATTACCAGTTCTTCAAAGACAGCCTGTTATTTTAGCATCAATATGCTAAGAACATTATCTCTGAAGCCAGATTGCCAGAGCAAACTTTGGTTTTGACACTTGCAACTTATGTGATATCTAGCAATTTAGTTATCCCATCACGGCTTTGGTGTCCTCCTCTGAAAGGTATAGACAATAGTGTTGCCTACTTCCTAGGACTGTTGTGATGAACACATACATAAATATATGTGTGATTACATATCAAGCATAAAAATTGTCTATTCTACCATAAGCTATTAGTAAGTGCTAGATATTCTCAAAATTAAAGGAAACAAATTAACTATCTTCCAAATTAGTACAAAAACAATGGCATGTTTCACTGAAAATATTGTCTTCAATTCAGAATAATTGAAAAACAAGGTATTTTACTAAAATTATACAAAATATATGAATAATTGTCACCCGAATTTATTTCTACTGCATATTTTTCATTATATTTTACATAATTGCCATCTATGCTTATTTCTAATTAACACTTTTCACTATACTTCATATGTCTTTTATCTCTCTTGTCTTTCATTCAGTTATTGCTTTATTCTGTTAAATATTTTCCACTTTTATGTCCTTTATTTACAATCTTTATAATTTCATTTGTTTTCTCCATTGAACATTTTTTCCCATTTCCTTTCCTTTTTCCTTGTCTTGGCTATCTTCACTTGCCTACCTTGTCACTTGTCATTACCATCACTTGCCTACTTTGTCACTATCTAATGTATTTTCCTTGTCACTTGCCTACCTTCTGCCAGAGTTCTGCCTTCTGTGTTAAGAATGTTCCTCTGAAATGAGAGCCCTTTGGAGGAAGACACTCAGGTACTAATTTCTGAGGCTTCATCTCTTATATTTTGTGCTATAGTCCCAACCATCTCCTCCCAATGAGAGTACGGGAAAAGAGCAGAGGGTTCAAAACCTGAGTTGTCACATGGCTTGTTGCAGACCAGCATCATGGCAGCTGGATGGAGAGAATCTCTGAGAAGATAGTCCTTCCAGATTGCCACTCAAGAGCTGCCATACAGGCAGCTCACTTCTCCATCTACATAGCCTGCTGTTTCTTACCAAGGGAATAATTCTTTGTGAGTCACATCTATTCAAACACATCTCATAGAAAATATAGATTTGTGGAAACACATGCCTATTTGCAACTAGTACAAATAGAAAGAATATTGACAGTAATGCTGAAAATCCTAAAAACATTTTTCTTTTCAGAATGACTGGTTGAAGATTTTCCTCAAAAACTCAGGAAAAAAATAAATATCATCATACTCCAGGCATGATTTTTAAAAAGCATGAAAATGTTAAAAGGAAAAAAAATCAAATTTGCAAACCTCTCTGCATGTATATTCATATCAACTCACAATAAATCATATACTAATTATTTCCAATGTTAGTCAAAAGTAAACCACAAACTCATGTGTACTTTTATTATATTATATATATTTAAATTAATATAAGATGAATTGCATGCATTTTAAAATATTAGTACATATGACTTTAAACATCTTGAAAATATTCCATAAAGAAAAAGCAACTTAGAAGATTTCTAAATGATATATTAACCTATAAATGATCTGTTTATTATTACTCTGTTTAATAATGATTAAAATGATATTATTAAAAATGCATACATTAAAATTATTATAAGATAATCTCCTAACATCTCTTGGAAACCTATGCGATACTGCTCTGGCTTCCATTCCATGGTAATCAATTTTTAAATAAAATTATCTCTTTTATCATTTTTACTTTCTATTTTCTCTTTTTTGAGGTATATATATTTTTTAATTATACTTTAAGTTTTAGGGTACATGTGCACAACGTGCAGGTTAGTTACATATCTATACATGTGCCATGTTGGTGTGCTGCACCCATTAACTCATCATTTAACATTAGGTATATCTCCTAATGCTATCCCTCTCCCCTCCCCCCATCCCACAACAGGCCCCAGTGTGTGATGTTCCCCTTCCTGTGTCCATGTGTTCTCATTGTTCAATTCCCACCTATGAGTGAGAACATGCAGGGTTTGTTTTTTTTGTCCCTGCGATAGTTTGCTGAGAATGATGGTTTCCAGCTTCATCCATGTCCCTACAAAGGACATGAACTCATCATTTTTTATGGCTGCGTAGTATTCCATGGTGTATATGTGCCACATTTTCTTAATCCAGTCTATCGTTGTTGGACATTTGGGTTGGTTCCAAGTCTTTGCTATTGTGAATAGTGCTGCAAAAAACATATGTATGCATGTGTCTTTCAATGTTATGCTTTGATATATGTCTAAACTGTGAAATGACTATCAAATTAAAGTTAATTAACATATCTATTACCTCACATAGTTACCATTTACTTTGGTTTGGTGAGAACATTTAAGATCTACTCTCCTAAAAATTTCAAGTATACAATACAATATTATTATCTATGTTGTACACATAGATCTACAGAACATATCTGTCCTCCATAATTGAAACTTTGTACCCTTTTATAAAATTGGTTTTTAGCTCATTAAGTTTTGGTAAACAGTGATCTTACATGTTAGAAATGCCAAAATTCACTAAAAAGACAGGAAAAGTGATGATTCCATCTCTCAAAACTTCC
Source organism: Homo sapiens (assembly GCF_000001405.40). Classification (NCBI taxonomy): domain Eukaryota; kingdom Metazoa; phylum Chordata; class Mammalia; order Primates; family Hominidae; genus Homo; species Homo sapiens. Next base: position 194,534,414 of record NC_000002.12, on the reverse strand, counting down.
ATTTGCTATTTGATATTGCTTTTTGTCTATATACCATAAAACAGTGTTTTTTATAAAATTAATCCTGCTGAAAAATATACTTTTGCTTATTTTTTTCATAAGGATCTGGACTCAAGAGGAAAACATATCCAATTTTCTTTTTATCCAAATCTAGCTTTTCCTTGTTGTTGTTCTTTTTGGTTGGAAAAAAATGAAAGTGGTAAGACAGGCTTTTGTTATGATAGATGTTTTTAAAGTTTGGATTGTAAATGAAATACAATTAAATAACATTAGTTAAGGACACTGCATTTAAAAGAAGGAAATCTACAAATATTTGTTCATCAAGCAAATTCTACAGATAAGAATTTTAAATTTAAATCTAAAAATACTGCATGTAATTTAAGTCAGTTATTACCTCATTTATCCCTTTCATGTTACCTTAATACCTCTATATTCAATTAGTTTTCTTCATTTGTACCTAATGTACTGAATATCTGCCTTTTTTCCTTTTGTACTTTTTAAAAATTTTAATTCTTTCATAGAACTAGCTCTCAGAATTTGTGCTTTCAGTAGTAAAAACAAGATATCCATTTTACTTGAAGTTTCTCTATTTGAGAATAATAACCTTCATTCATAAATCTACATCAGTCTAACTGGGCATTCCTTTTCTGAAATACTGAAGGTATTTTAACTTCAGTTTCAATAGATTTATTCACACAGCTATAATATAATTCTTCCATTTTGGACATAGAAGAGTAACTAGTCTCACAGTACTAGTTACTAGTTACTTGTGGAAGAGTAACTAGAAACTCACAGTAACTAGTCTCCTAAGTGTTTGGTGTGCAGAAGATAGCTATGGGGAATTGTTGTGAAATTCTATTCCAGAGCTCTGTATTAACTCTTTGTGTAAACCTGATGAATTCCACAATTTTTTTATTATTTTAAGAAAATCATATATAAGCTTTTAGAGACGAGTTTATGAAAAACTTCTAACAACCTGATGTATTTCAAAAGATTTGAAAGGTGTTACAGATACAACAGAAAAAACAGGAACATTGATTTACAATAAAAACTGAAACTATTTGCATAACTGATATTTTGGTACTGTGACTTTTATGAAATTTATTTCTTCTGAAACTTTTTTTTCAAACTGCTTTTCAGCTTTCTAAATGAACCATAATCATTAGAATTGTAATCACTTTTTATTTAACCAGGATATTGGCTGATGGTTTGAGATGAAAATCACAAATATTTACAAATCATATGAGAACGAAACTAGTAGGAATGGTATAAAATATAGACTTTATTAAAAACATAGATAATCTAAGTGAGGAAATGTAGCAAAAACATTATTTGTTTTGCTTTTTAGGTCCTTCCTCATTATTTATCTGTTGATCTCCTTTCCGGAAAATGGACCTAAAATATCCTCAGGAGCTTAATGTCACCCAATTTCGTTATAAACCAGATTCGTAATAATAGCAGTTTGCCATGAGTCCCATTTTTTTGTTTGAATATATGAAACTATTTAGAAGATGAACCACATTACCCACCCATTCAAAGGGAAAAAATGTTTTTTCAACCATTTTTCCTCCAGCCACTGGATATTCCTGTGCTATCTGTGAATTGAACCACAGAAACAGTCTTATCACTGATCTTAATGATGCTTTGGAACTTAAAGAGTATACAAAATAAATTTGACTGTTATATTTTCTTTTTAAAAAAAGAAACCTTTATTTCTTTATTTTATATCTAAAGCAATGAACACTTATTTTATCTAATCATTCAATTTCAAGGCTGTCATTTTATGTTAAATTCACTATATTTTTGTTAGGATATCTTCATTTACCAACATGTAAAATAATCTTGGAGGATTTGGGTCATGCAATCAGTAAACAGAATTTGGCCTCAGCTGTTGATTATGACAGTCTACAATAGTCATCATTCAACATATAGATGTTTTTTGCTGATTACATATACTGCAACTTAATTAGTCAAAAAGACACATCGTTTTTAAAAATAATCCAACAAAAAACTAACCAGTCCATGCTCAAATTGACTTTTATGGAAAATAAATTGGAAAGTAAAAAAAACTAAATAAGAAAGGAAGAGTTCATCCTCTATTTCCCTATTTCAGCATGGCTTGGGCAATTATAGGAAGATAAAATGACATCTTTATTGCTAGCAAGATACTTAGAACTTTCATTATCTAACATGTTTACTAAGCTGTTTTTAGAAAATATGAGGCCAGGTGCCATGGCTCATGCCTGTAATCCCAGCACTTTGGGAGTCTGAGGCAGAAGGATCGTTTGAACCCAGGAGTTTGATGCTAGCCTGTGCAACATAGTGAGACACCATTTCAACAACAACAAAAAAATTAAAAATAGCCAAGTGTGGTGGTGCATGCCTTTGGTCCCAGCTGCTCAGGAGATTGAGGCAGGAGGGGATTGCCTAAGCCCAGGATTTGGATGCTGCACTGAGCTGTAATGGCACCACTGCACCCCAGCCTGGGCAAAAGACCAAGGCCCTGTCTCAAAAAAAAAAAAAAAAAAAAAAAAAAAAAAGTCAAAAATAATTGAAGTTTTGGGACAGGACAATATTGTAGAAGAAAGATATGCATTTATTTAATAAAGGAGATGTGTTCTTCAGTTCCAATAAAGGGATCTTCAGAAAGAAGGAAAATTAATTAAATTATAAGACTATAACTGAAACCATTCTCTCTCAGAAGTTGTAAAGAAGTAATTCCTGTCTGTACCCATAGTAGCAGGGAGCAACCCAGAAATTGAGGTTTCATGTTAGGGGAGTACAAATTCAATTATTATATTATTGTTGTTGTTATCATCACCATTATTTTAATTTTAAGCAGCTGCGGGGTTGATCTAAATCAGTATTTGAATTTCTGAGTTATCTTTAGGTGAATCCAATTTAACCTCTTCAGAATGTATCCACCTGTGATAAAGTGTTTCAACATCTTTCCCCAGTTTATTTATTTCGTAGACAAATGAACTAATATATCGTATGGAATCAAAATACATCTTATCTCCCAGCATGTAGATTGAAGAGAAGCCAATTTATTTGTTAAAACTGGAGTCCAAGATTTTAGTAAACTGCACTTAAGGCTGTGGTGGATTCCTTTAAGGTTTGACTTTGCCCTTCCATTTTGGTGGGACTCCTATCCCCAGAGGCTATCTCTAAAGACTTGAAGATAAGAATGCATGTCTCTGCATCGACTGGGCTCCTGGAGGATCCTGATTGTTTCTGCCCTTGTCTGGCTCTGCTTTCATCCATGCTTGTTCTGTCTCCCATGTGCCCCAATTTACACTGCCATATTATGCAGCCATTCTGCTGCTTGAAACAAAATAAGCCAAAACAGAAAGTTTCATACAGAATTATACTTTTTGGAATTTTTCAATTATACTTCTGTATCCCAAATTTTATAATCAAAAAAATATATGTTCATTGGGAAGTTCATTAGTACTCTTTATGAGAGACTTGGACATTTGGGGCATTTTTAACTTATAAATGCTAAAATAGCAATTGTTTTAAAACTGTATTCTGATCTTGTAAAATCAAAAGAAGAAAAATACTTCACAAACATTACAGAGTTCACCAATTTTGTAAACAACTACACAATTACTTTACGCTTGTGAATTGTTTAAATTTTTAAGGAATATTTACTAATGGCCATGCCTTCATGAAGACTAATTCAAATGATAATATGAATAAATGAAAATATAGAAGAGGTATAGCTCAAGGTAAAATTTATAGCCTCAAAATAAAAAACCTGGAAGTATATTTTTAGATAATTTGAGTTTTAGTAATTTAGAGATTTAGAACTCAAACCACAAAGGTACCTGAGTAAAGATAATTTCAGAACTCTCTATAGACTATTAAAATGGAACTCCTTTAGAAAGTTTAAATCCATCATTTAGTTTCAAGGCTATGCATAATTTTTAAATAGAGTCATGTTTAACTAGAAAATGATTTCTGAGCTCTAGCTATTGGTCCCTGGTCTCATTTAGGAGAGCTGAAATTGGAATCATAGAAGACACAGATTTGATGCTGTAGATGATGAGGCAGACTCACCTGAGATTTAAACAGTGGTGACCATGCATATCTCTAGGATAACTGTTTCATTCCCTATAGCAACCCAGGACCTGGGCAACTGCTTTGGAAGATTGTTCAAAGATAAAAGGTACAAAGAAATTATATGTTTAAATGAAGTAATAGTAACAATTTCTACCTCCTAAATATTTCTCCAGCACATTTTCTCTTTCAGTTCCCAAATCCTTTAATTCTATCCCTTATAGTTTCTATCCTCAATTGATTCTCAAGTATGTATGTATGTGTGTGTGTGTGTGTGTGTGTGTGTGTGTGTGTGTGTATCTCCTATATTAAAACCATCCTACTTTATTTTCTTTGTTGCTGTCAATAGACTCTGGATTTATGTCTATCTATTTACATCTATCTAGTAATATAGATAGATATCTATATATCTCCATTTTTCTTTCATCTATCTCCTCTTTATCTATTTCTATAGTACAGGGGCCCCCAAACCCTGTACCTGTCCTGGTTAGGAACCAGGCCACACAGCAAGAAGTAAGTGGGCTGGCAAGTAAGCAAGGTTCATTTGCATTTACAACTGCTCCCCATCCCTTGCATTGCCACCTGAGCTCTGGCTCCTGTCAGATCGGCGATGGCATCTCATAGGAGCGCAAACCCTGTTAGGATCTAAGTTGCATATTCCTTATGAGAATCTAATTCCTGATGACCTGTCACCATCTCCCATCACCCCCAGATGGAACCGTTTAGTTGAAGAAAATCAAGCTCAGGGCTCCCACTGATTCTATATTATGGTGAGTTGTATATTTATTTCAGTATCTGTTACAATGTAATAATAATAGATATAAATTTTACAATAAATGTCATGTGCTTGAATCATCCTCAAACCATCCCCTGTGCTCCCGCCAGACCATGGAAAAATCATCTTCCATGAAACTGGTCCCTGGGGACCACTACTACAGTATATCTAGATAGATAGATAGATAGATAGATAGAATATCTATTGCCTATTGTGTGCCCAGTATATCTTCTATTTTCCTGCACTGCGTAACACTCAATGAGAGCAAAAATGCATATGCATTCTTCACTATTACATAAAACATTCACACACAAGTAACTCATACTAGATAAACTGATGATTGCTGAATTCTGCCTGGTTGTAGAGATAGAAGAATGGCTATATCCGTTGATACACTCCTAAAGGGTGTGAATTAGGACTTTACCCCTGAAAATCATTTAGCCCATATGTATAAAGTGGATTAGAAACCTGTGTTCATTTTGGCCCAGTAATTACTATTTGAGAGTCTATACAAACAACAGCAACTACTACCACTGCTTCACACAGAAGATGAAGCTGTTGGAAATCCTTCATTTTTCTTTAAACTTATGAACTTAACTCATATGCAACCATACTTTTTTTTCTCTTTTCTGGTAGGATAACAAAGACATCTCCACTCATTTCTAAGATTAATCATTTAACTGGTATAAAATTGCCTTCTGAAAAATACATAATGAAGTCATTTCATTGTTCCATGGTTTTATTGATTTTTTTCACACTGTCTTCAAACTCTCACTCATTTAAGTTCATCTGTCTTTAAATAAATAAAAAAACAAAAGCAGGAATAACAACAAAAAACCCTCTTCCAAGATTCACGACAATCAATGATTATCTTTTCCTCTATCTTTTAAAATCATTTTCTGGAAAAAGTTCCATAAAATAATTGTCTTTGTTTCCCTCATCAGCTACTCTCTCCTCCTTCTATTTTCTAGAAAATCTATGATTCCCTCAGGCTATTATATACAAGATCATTAATGTCCTGCTTGTTACCAAACAATACCAGGAATAATAGAAATAGCTAGTGCTTATAGCTCTTAGGCTGTATGATATGTATTTTCTGTGCATATTCTTGTTTAATCTCTATGATAATCCTACAGTATAGGTATTACTGTTGATCCTCTACATTGGACAGCTGATAAAACTGTGTGTCAGGGAGTTTAAATGTTTTTTTCAAAATCATAGAACAAGTGAGTGACTAAAATGAGACTTAAACTCAGACTACATCTGACACTATTGCTCATGATGCTCGCAATTCTATTGTACTGTTTCAAAAATCCTTTAAATATTTGACAATATCAATATTTTTAGAGGTTTTTGGGTGTTGTGTTTTAATTTAAATGTTATAGGTGTTTTACTGGTAAGAGAGGGCTTAGTAGCCACAAAACTGTTAATTACAATATCAGCTTTTCTGTTTTTATGCTAATTCTTTAGTTTTTTATCAGCTGAGTGTTTGAGAAAGTACCTAAAAGCAGTTGTTATTTACTTAGGAAAAAATTCCATAAAATAATTGTCTTTATTTCCCTTATCAGCTACTCTCTTGTCAATCTATTTTCTAGAAAACTTATGATTCCCTTAATCTATTATATACAAGATCAGTCTTAGTATACAGTCCATATCAAAATTGATAACGTAAATAGTAGAATAACTTCTAAGATAATTTTTGTGTCTTACATTACCTTTTGAATATCATTTGTACTTCACCTATCTGGAAAGTACAACAAAATTAGGCATTTTTCTTTATAAAACTCTAAAAGAGAGTAAGCAAGGAAACTGGTTATTAGAAGCAAAGACAAACATTCGAGGATTAAAATGATAGTAAGCACTAGGAATTACCAGTTCTAACTCCATTCCCTCCTGCCCAGCCACATGATAGAAAACTTAAGGCTCTATGCATCTTTTTCCTCTCGACAAATGCCTTGTTAGCTTTATTTTAGCTAATGCATTGTTAGCTTTATTTTAATGAAGATAAAGCTAAGTGGCCTAGCCAAGAATCTTAAAAGTCATAAATATTGTATTATCTAATTTGAGAGAGAGACAGAGAGAGAGAGAGTGAGAGCAAGATCAAGGACGAGAGAGAGAAAAATAAGTTATCTTCTAGGATGTATAGTAGGTCTCCGTTTATGAGACATTTAAAGCACAACCTCCCCAATCTTGTCTTGGGTCTAGTCCTTCAGAATGGGGAGAAAGTAAAAGATCCAACTTTCATTACCTGAAAATGTAGACAGTCCAAGGATTAATGGTTTAGCTGCTGTTCAGGGTGTCAAATTTAATAAATCCATATATCTTTCTGGCTGGATTGTTGTAGATGCATAATTTTTTCCCCAACTCATTTTGCTTGCTGATTCAAACTTCTCTTACTTTGTGGAAAACCATAGTTGTAAGGCAAGACAGTTTCAGAGGCAGGACATTGCTTTCAATATGAAGCCAAAGATTTCCACACTAAGAATTGCATGAAGATGTTAAATTAGATTAGCAAAAATCTGAGGAATATGTGTGTGCCAGAAATCCTGAATGAGCAATCTTAATTCTGCCTACTAGTTGCCTAAAGGTCTTCAAAGGTGTCAGAGTCATAGTCAGGATTCTGGTAGAAACCAGATGAATATTTTAACTTCATTCTGACCAATATTACTTTCTCCAACCATTTTTTACTTGTTTATAAATTTTAAAGTTGAAATTGAAGAATATCCTAGGCATATTCTGTAATTCTTCTGAGAGAATTATAAAGCTTTGCTTGTATAAATACAGTTTAATTTTGTTTTCTTCTTTTTAGTGAAAATTGATAAAAATATTTTTTCAATAACCTAAAAATTCTATTATTTAACTGGGGTTTCTTCATTTTATTCTAAATGTCTTTGCGTCATGTAAAATGTTATTAAGATTTATTAGGTCGTAATTTAAACCTTTTTATTTGATAATATCCTAATAAGTAAAATTTTGGACATTTAGTTGTTTTTAAGTTATTTTCATTGGAAGTATCTCATAACATTAATACATTGCTGAGACTAAATTAGAAAATAGACATAATTTATCTTCAATAGTGAAAGGATTCTTATAACATTTATAAATTATTTTAAATATAGAAACTTGCTAAAAAGTGGAAATTTTAAAAATAGAAACCTATGAAAATCCAATGACTGGAAATAATTTCTACCAGTTAGTCATGTTGACCAAATTATCTTTGACCCAATTACTCATCATCAAATTGTTTTTGACCAGACCTCCTGCAGCTATTGAAGTCAGTCTCTGCACCTGTTCTTTGAATTTTAGAAATTTTTGCTTACTCAGAAACTTCTATCATTATCTTCTTTATCCATGAGGACTGAGGAAACATCCCAATATTGAGAGGGAGGGGTAAACATAAATGTAATGCACAACATATATGAGTTACACATATATCTAATGCCAACTTAGATGTAATATTCACTGATGGCCAAATCTCCCATGAGGGGATGGACGAAGGGGCTTAAGTTCTGGATAATTTTATTTTTGTTTGCTTTATCATTTCTTAATTGTTTTCATATGCTTTTCCTATGTCAGTGAAGTACTATTTTTTTCTGTTTTTTTACTTTACTTGATTTTTTCTCTATTTTTATAACATTCATGCTTACCCTCTTGGGTTCCCACTGTGAAAAATCTGTAAGACATTAGGAATGGATAAAGAAAAAACCTTTGCGAACTAACGTAAATAGATGTTATCTTCCAATTCTGCATCATTATTTTGAATTTACATTTATACATATAAATGCTCATTGAATATTATGCTTTTAAATAATCTTCTCTGGCATGTGTTATATACATGACTGTTATACAATACTTCTGGCAAATATTCAAATTTCAGGTTTTGTTCTTACTTTTCCCTTCCAATCAATGTACGGTATATGCTAGTGTTTTTCTATTCCTTGATTTCATGACTCCCTAGCTGTAGCCTGATCCCCCTTTCCCTCATATGAACTTCTCAAAAGATATGCATATGTGTCCAAGTCCAATTTTTCAACTCTCAATCTATCCTTACCCATTTGAAACCTGGCTCCCATCTTTAATGCTTACTTAATATGCTAAATAAAAGATAACTAATGATTTTAAATTGCTAACATTTATGGGTGCTTAAAATTCATTTTTCCCCTTTCTAAACATTTTGCAAAGATTTTATTCTCATTAAAATTCTCTACTATCTCTTGGTTTGTTTTTCTCTCTTCATGAGTTTCTAGTCTCAGGAATTCCCTTTGTATTTTTTCCCTGTGGATCATTCCTGACATTTTGCTTGTCTCAGGTACACTCACCTCTATCTTCTTCTCTACTTTAAAAAGTGTTTCTTTATCAGGGATCATCAACATATGAAGCATGACTCAAAGAATCTCAAAATCATTTGTAAAATATGTTTCATACACATATTTCAAAAGAGATGGTCAAAATATAAAATTTTATGTATATCTCACAAGGTCTACAATCATTGTCTTAAAAGCTCTTCTTGTAGATTAAAACCACCTTTTACAATTTTAAATACCAACTATAAGTTATAAGCTTATAATTTACTTATTTCCTTTAGGTATACAAAAGTAAAACCTGGATATGCCTTGAATATACACAATTACCTAAACCTGGCCAGGCTTAAAACTGAATTCATCACCCCTTAACTAAGACTTTTGGTAACTCCAACATTACATTGTAAGATCATCAGCTACACCAATGCTAAAATAAAAGATCAACTTTATCTCTACATTATTTTTCACAATCCCAGCTTTGTATTACCAACTGGTATGCCCGTTGCATATACATGTCAAAAAGCTCCTTCTGTATAAAACTTCATGGTGTTTCTGTGCCCCAGCAATGAATAATCCAAAAAGGAAATTAAGAAAACATGTTTTACATTCAAAAACATACAGAAAAATAAATACTTAAAAATAAATTTAATCCTTTGGGTATATACCCAGTAATGGAATTGCTGGGTCAAATGGTATTTCTGGTTCTATATCCTTGAGGAATTGCCACACTGTCTTCCACAATGGTTGAACTAATTAACATTCCCACCAAGAGTGTAAAACTGTTCCTATTTCTCCACATCCTTTCCAGAATCTGTTGTTTCCTGACTTTTTAATGATTGCCATTCTAACTGGTGTGAGATGATATCTCATTGTGGTTTTGATTTACATTTCTCTAATGACCAGTGATGATGAATATTTTTTCATATTTCTGTTGGCGGTATAAATGTCTTATTTTGAGAAGTATCTGTTCATATTCTTTGCCCACTTTTTGATGGGGTTTCTTTCTTGTAAATTTGTTTAAGTTCCTTATAGATTCTGGAAATTAGACCTTTGCCAGATGGATAGCTTTCAAAAATTTTCTCCCATTCTGTAGGTTGCCTGTTCACTTTGATGATAGTTTCTTTTGCTGTGCAGAAGCTCTTTAGTTTAATTAGATTCTATTTGTCAATTTTGGCTTTTGTTGCCATTGTTTTTGGTGTTTTAGTCATGATGTCTGTTCCCATGCCTGTGTCCTGAATGGCATTGCCTAGGCTTTATTCTAGGGTTTTTATGCTTTTAGGTCTTATATTTAAGTCTTTAATCCATCTTGAGTTAATTTTTGTATAAGGTATAACGAAGGGGTCCAGTTTCAGTTTGCCGCATATGGCTAGCCAGTTTTCCCAGCACCATTTACTAAATAGGGAATCCTTTCCCCATTGCTTGTTTTTGTCAGGTTTTTTGAAGATGAGATGGTTGTAGATGTGTGGTGTTATTTCTGAGGCCTCTCTTCTGTTCCACTGGTCTATATATGTTTTGTTACCAGTACAATGGATTTATACACAAAGAATTATAAATCATTCTACTATAAAGACACATGCACACATATGTTTATTGCAGCACTATTTACAATAGCAAAACTTAGAACCAACCCAAATGCCCTTCAATGATAGACTGCAGAGAGAAAATATGGCAAATATATACCATGGCATACTATGCTGCCATAAAAAAGAATGAGTTCGTGTCCTTTGCAGGGACATGGATGAAGCTGGAAACCATCATCCTCAGCAAACTAACACAGGAACAGAAAACCAAACACTGTATGTTCTCACTCATAATTGGGAGTTGAACAATAAGAACACGTGGACACAGAGGGGAACATCACACACTGGGGCCTGTTGGGGGTAGGGGAAAAGGGGAGGGAGAGCATTAGGACAAATACCTAATGCATGCGGGGCTAAAAACCCAGATGAGGGGTTGATGGGTGCAGCAAACCATCATGGCAATGTATACCTATGTAACAAACATGCACATCCTGCACATGTATCCCAGAACTTAAAGTATATTTAAAAATGACAGAAATTTAAATAAGGAGGTGAAAGACACAGAAAACTACAAAGCATTGCTGAAAGAAACTTAAGACCTAAATAAATGGTAGAACAGTGCATATTTATGAATTTGAAGATCTAATACCAGTAAGATGGCTACACTCCCCAAAGAAATCTATAGAATCAATGGCACAACCATCAAGATGGAAAACTTAGCCATATCCCAAGCCTTCTTATTACTATTTCTCCCCTTTTAAATTTATAATTCTTCAGTAACAAATAATTCCAGATAATATGTTATATTCTTTGATGCCTCTGACCTTTGTGACAGTGATTCTTTTTGAATTTTCTTCTCTTACTTTGTTAATATCAATCACTTCTAGTTACCCGCCAAGAATCTGCTCCTTCCTCATCTCCTGTCTCTCTGAAATGTTTGGGTGTTTCTCTTGTTATTCCTATAATTCTTACGTTAAATGTACTGTTATATTTTATACATTATGTTGAAATTACACTTTTATATGTCCGTTTCCCTAAGACAATAAGATCCTAACTTGAACGGTTTGTTTTAATCAATGCAATACTTCAAACATCTAGCCCTTAGCTCCTCAAATTTATTTGTTGAAATATCTTCTTTATTACCCTGGGCTTACATTTATTTTTCATGGTTTTATGTCTTACATATTTTTACATCTTATATTGATTATTTATTGACTTTTTACTTCATATTTTGTTTCCAGTGACTAGTTGTTTTTAATTTCAATATCCCAGAGTGTACATATTGTTCAAAATCAGAAATCACATTGAGATCACAAACTTAAACTTACCCAGCATTGCAAACCTGCCTAGTTCTTTTCCCAGAGGAGAACAGGAAACTTTCCTCTTTGACTAAATACAAGATTATGTCTCCTATTAGCATTGTCAGGCTGCAAAGGCAGGAGTTCTTGGGCTTTATTATATTATCTACCAAGTTTTTTTCTTTAAATGAGATAAAACCTGGGAAATAGGACAAAATATCTGCTTCAGGTTTCCTTACCGTCAGTCTTAGCCCCCAAATCCCTCACAAGGTACCATTTTTGCATCAATTATAATGATTTTCTCAATTCTGACAGTATACATGATATATAATAAGAGATTACAATAAAGCAGTCGCTTTCTATTTTTTCAACTAGTTTTAAAACCAAAATGATATCCAAGTTATAAAATAGAATTTCATTTCATAAATATAAATGAATCTTTATATACATATATAGATATTCTTCTATAAGATCTATATTGTCAGATAAAGCTACCATCATTAACATTAATTTATAAAACAAGAGATGGTTGTTTATCTTTTGACCTAACAAGGAATATATACACATTTTTATACACCCTATAATTATCAGGATGGATGAATAAAAAACTTGCCATGAGCCTGAAAACGTCAAGACTCTTAGCACTTAAATCTGAAAACTCTACAGAACTGCTAGTGCCTCAGCTTTGACATTAAAAAAAATCAATTTAGGAGAATTTAGAAAATCTTATGCTTTTTACACTGCTTATAATTACATATTTACTTTATAAGTTTGTCAGATTCCTTAAGGAACAATCAAGTACTTCAGGTTACAGACAGAGAAAAGATAATATTAAAGAATAGAGAAGAGAAATAAAAAACAACAACAAATCAAAGATATTTTCTAAGCCATCAACTTTTCCTGACAAAAATAATACATTAAGCTGAATAGTTTTGAATCTGAAACTACCAGTTTTGGTGTCATGCTAGAATTCATTCCCTCTGCACCACCCACCCCCACCTCAGAGCATATGTCAAGGTTTTTAAAAATATAACATATCAACATATATTCAAATATATATGTATATATATATGTATGTGTATATATATATTCGTTATAGCATATATTTAGTTATATGATAACTAAAGTAAAGCCAATTAAAGATTAAGAGAAATGCTTGAATTTAAGATTTTGTTAATCATTCAAAAATAAAGCATTGTTCTTAGGAGACATGTTCCAGAATGTTTTGAACTATATATGGGTATAACATAAGGAACTTGTTGTAGCAGGACAGTGTCAAAGGAAGGGCTTTTTTTTTTTTAACTTACCTTCTTTCATGCCACAACATTCTTGTGCTACTTTTTCATTTGTCACTCTCTCTTTTCCCTTGTACAGTACATACTCAGAGCGAGTGTCTAATTTTCAAAGTGGGACATTCTTACTACTGTACCATATAAATCCTTTCCTCTTTATAGACACAGAACTATCCTGGAGAGGCCATCAGTGACAGATCAGGGGTTCTACACTTCTGTTTAAAGTCCATAGTCTGTCTGTCTTGTAATAATACCCTTCTCTGTATCATAGGCTTACTTCTTCAAAGACCTTTCAAACTAACTCACACTTACTCGTTTTTTAATCCATGGTATTGATATCTTAAAGAGCTCCTAGAATGCCCCACCTTCTGGATTTGATTGTTCTCACATTAATGGTTCATTCTTCCTCTGAATTACTGTAACCAGACTTTATATCTAATAGATTAAATGGATTCAGGTTAAACAATTTTTGCAAAAGTACTTCACAGGTGATGCTATGACCTTCATGTTGGAAAAGGCCAGGATTCTGGTTGAGGGATAATAAGACTGATCACTGAGTAGGATGATGAAGTTTGGCTCCATCCATTGTAAACAACAAGAAATTTATGAAGTGTTACTTTAGTATAACATAAATTGATGTTATCTTACCAATCTTTCAGCTAATGGTTTTATCATCAGTTATTGTCCGAATCAGTGATTACACAGGGAATTACAATATGGTAATTTTCTAATTCTGTTATTCTTTCTAAGTTTAAATGCCATCCTCTTGTTAAAATTATCTTTCTATGACCAACTAGGACTATATATTTCTTCCTCTAGAACAGTGTCAATGCTTAAGTACTTCTCTTTAACTAAGTAGTTTTAGAAAGTATTTGGTGTTATAGTTACTTACAATTGTGGCACATAACATTTTATTTACCTGTTTGTTCTTTTGCTTTTGCTATTTTGAATATCATGCTGGAATAATGGACTTTTACACGTGAAACTTGTTTTCATTAGTAACAGTCTTTTATGTGCTATTTAACTTAACTCGCCTTTTGTCAGTAGACCCAACTTTAAACTGGCTTCCTTGTCCTTTTGATGCAGCTCCATTTTTTCCTTGTTTTCTGGTACAACAGAATGTTTCAGACTCATACTGTAACCCCTTACTTCAAATTTGGAATCAGATATTCCCCCAAATAGCCCTAGTACTAATCAGATGTAAATGATAATTAGAAGCCACATTCTGGCAACTAGAGGTACATATTGCTACTAAAGTAGTGTTGCTTCTAGAGTTTTTTAGGAGCTGTGACCAGAAAAGAAAAAAAATATATATATATATATAAACATTTATATATTTGTATATAATATTGATTCTTACACTAAAAATATTCATTCTCCATAATAAATTATTTGCTTTATATTAAATATGAATTCTAAGTACTTCTACATCTTTAGACACAATGACTACTGACTTTTCAGGGGTTCATATTAAATAATCTTAGTGTCAATTATTAGCTCTAGTATGCTAATTATTGATTAAGGATCTTTAAAACAAAAGCTTTAACTGTTAAGATTACTGAGAAAGCCAATTTTTGTATGTTAGTTTCTAATGAGACTTCTTAATAAAACTGGACAATTTGGTTTGCATTAATTCCCTCACTATCCTTTCCTACTCAGTTTTAAAGATGAATGATAAGGACAGAAGTTTGTTGTTGTTGTTGTTGTTTTCTTTTCATTTTTGTTTTTGATTTTTTAATATCACTGTAAATCCCCTGGAGTTCAGTATTAGCCGAGGCCAACAGTAAGTATACTCAGCGTGCACTATGATAGGAGAGAGTTCAAGGTAACCTTTGAACGTTTGGAATGTCAAGAGGCTGTAACTGAAAATCCCAATGGATTCCCACTAACACAGGTCTTATCTTCTGTTCCGTCATGCCAACACCAAAAAAAAAAAAAAAAAAGAATACCATTTTGAATAGATAAATGCACAGAGGCAGAAGAAAATTGTTAAATCATTTTACTTTATGAAAGAAATAGAAATAGCTTAATGAGAAAATGAACAAATTTTACCTATGTTATCTTAAACTTTTGTGTCACGTAGATCTATTTCACAGTTTCCTGTTATTTGGGTAAATTCTTTAGGTTCTTTATACATCTCATGTTTTTTCTTTGTAGAATTAGCATGTTAAAAGTCCCTAACTCATATGGCTGTTACGATGATTTAAAGAGATGATTTAAGCAAATTTTTTGACACAATAATTAGAACAGTTGTGCCAAATACATTTGTGTTTGGGAAGAAGTAGGACAAAAGGAAGATGACAGAGATGGAGTAGACAGTCCTTTCATATTAAGAGGCTGAAAGATCCCAGGAGATTCAACAATCAAGTGACAAATTATGGATGCACTTGGGATTGGAAAGCGAATATGAGGGGAGCATTCATTAGAAGACGTAATCAAAGTGAGCCCCAGAACTTTTATGCTAAAACCTATGTTAACGACATTCAAACCAGAGGGTACTTGGTGCACAAGGAAGTGGAATTGTGTAACCTATCAGTCTCTGAGACTTTCATTGTTTTCTACAGTTGTGAGTTATTAATATAGTTCTGTTCCTAACTGCATGGTGAAAGAAATATGGCTCACCTCAGTGAAAAAAAATTGTCTAATATACAGAGAAAAGAAAGTGAAATAGACTCAGCAGCCTTATCCTGAGATACATATAAGAATACATATGAAAACTTCATTGTATGAAATTTAATTATTACATATTTGTAATTTCTCTCTTGGATCTATATTTTTTCTTTCTTACTTTAAGTGATAATTATATATTAGATCTCATGTATAAGACAATTTAGAAGAGCAATTAAAGTTCTGTTTCTGTAACTCATGTTCCCCAAAGGTTACATAGCTTTCTAACTTTTGCTTACATATTCATCATAGAATAGTTCTGTTTCCTGATGAACAAATTAGAAAACGTCCCTGATGTAATTACCTAATTATAAATTACTTAATATTTAAGAAATGTATAGTTGTTTTCATTTTTTCCTTGGAAAATTCTTGTGAAAAATACATAGTGTATGTAGAAATAACTTTTCTCTATAATTTCTGTTTCTTGCCCTATGATCAAAGAACCTTCTAACAGCAGACCTCTAACATTTTTAAGGTATCAACAATATCATTTAGTTAACAATAACTTTACAAAATAATTCATATATTATTTTCTGTATGAAAATCACTTATTCTTCATTTCATTACATTATTTCCATGCACTTACTTTTTATTACAAAACATGTTTCTAATCATTTTGTATAAAGCTCTATTTGAAGTTCTTTTAGAACATAATGGTAATTACCATTATTTTAAATATTATGATTATACCTCAGATTGCTTTCACCATTTAGCATTTCTAACAGCATAAAAAATTTCAATAATGTAAACTGACTTCTTTGTCCACTTTGATTAAGGTTTTTCTTCATATTTTCTGCTACATGGTTACTATAGTAAATTATCTACTTTTATATATATATACTTAGAGAAAAGTAAAAATTTAATCAAAAGTATTTTGTAATAAAGCATGATAATTTAAAAGTTTTTAAATATATACTTAGGAATATACTTTGGAATTCATGGAACTTATGAATATCTGAATAGAAGTTGAATTTGTCAATATGAAATATTTTAGTAAAAATAATTTTAGAAAAGTAGAGAGTATAAAGTTAAGATAAACTATTATGGCTCACTATTTGAAGTCATCTTTTTGTTGTTAATTTTGTACAATTTTGACTTTTTTTCTTTTTTTAATAATTTCAATTTTTAGATTCAAGGGGTGCATATGCAGGTTTGTTATATGAGTATCTTGTGAAATGCTGAGTTTTGGAATACAGATGATCCTGTCACCCAGGTAGCAAGCATAATTCCTGAAAGTTTGTTTTTCAACCTTTGGTCCCCACTTTCCTCCCCAATATTCCCCATTTTCTGTTGTGGCTATCTTTATGCCATTGGGTACCCAATGTTAGGCCCTGACTTATAAGTGAGAAACTGATGGTATTTGGTTTTCTGTTCCTATGTTAATTCACTTAAGAAAATGGCCTGTCGCTGCATCCATGTTGCTGCAAAGTCCATGATTTCAATTTTCATAGTTGCATAGTATTCCATCATATATATGTACAACATTTTCTTTATCCAATACACTGTTGATGAGCACCTAGGTTGATTCCATGTCTTTGTTATTGTGAAAAATGTTGTGATAAACGTACAAGTGCATGTGTCTTATTGGTAGAACAATTAATTTTCTTTTGGATATATATCCAGTAATACAATTGCTGGGTCAAATGGTAGCTCTTTTAAGTTCTTTGAGAAATCTCTAAATTGCTTTCCACAGTGGCTGACCTAATTTACTTTCCACCAACAGTGTATAAGCATTCCCTTCTCTCTGCAGCTTTACCAGCATCTGTAGTTTTTTGACATTTTAATAATAGCCATTCTGACTTGTGTGAGATGGTACCTCGTTGTAGTTTTGATTTGCATTTCTCTGATGATTAGTGATGTTGAGTATTTTTTCATACGACTGTAGGCCACTTGTATGTCTTCCTTCCAGAGTGCTATTCATATCAAATCACCACTGTCGTTTTTCACAAAATTTAAAAAAACTATTCTAAAATTCATATGCAACCAAAGAAGAGCCCAAATTCCCAAAGTAATTCTAAGCAAAAAGAACAAACCTGGAAGCATCACATTAACTGACATCAAACTATATGGTAAGAATACAGTAATCAAAACAGCATGGTTCTGGTACAAAAACAGACACCCAGACCAATGGAACACAATAGAGAACGCAGACATAAAGTCGCATACCTACAACTATCTGATCTTGCATGAAGTTGACCAAAATAAGCAGTGGGGAAAGGACTGTCTACTCAATAAATGGTGCTGTAATAGCTGGCTAGCCATAGGCAGAAGAATAAAACTGAACTCCTACCTTTCACTATATATACAAATTAACTCAATTTGTATATATAGTGAAATTAATTATTTATTTAATATTAATTAAATATTTAAAAGTAAGACCTCAGACATTAAGAATCCTAGAAGAAAACTTAGGAATCACCGTTTTGGACTTCAGCCTTAAGAAAGAATTTATGACTAAGTCCTCAAAAGCAATTGCAAGGAAAATAAAAATTGACCAGTGAGACATAATTAAACTAGAGAGCTTTTGCAAAGCAAAAGAAACTATCAACAGAGTAAACAGACAACTTATAGAATTGAAGAACATATTTGCAAACTATGCAACCAGCAAAGGTCTACTATCCAGAATCTATAAAGAACTTAAATAATAAAACAAGCAAAAGACCAATAACTCATTTAAAAGTAGACAATTGACATGAGCAGGCAATTTTGACTTTTACGTGAACTATCCACTTACTTGTAGATACAGGTTGAATATCCCTAATCCAAAGATTTGAAATCCAAAATGCTCCAAAATCCAAAGCTTTTTGAGCACCAACATGACATAGTGCTCCAATAAGCATTTGGATTCAAGTTTTAAGATTATAGATGCTCAACTGGTAAATATATAATGCAAATATTCCAAAATAAAAAAAGCAAAATCTGAATCACTTATGCATTTCAGATAAGGGATACTCAACTTGTAATTGCTGAAATTTGTACTTTAATTTTATCATTTTAATAATTGTTTTCTATTGTTTCATCTGTTCTTATACATTTATTTAACTTTTTCATTTTTCTTTTGAAATACTCAAATGTTTTATTCTATTTGTCTTTTTTACCAGCCTTTAATTTATACAGTATGTGTATAATTGATACAGAGTGGCTATCTCTTTCATTCTCAAAATTTTACTGGTACTAGGAGTTGCCAGACTTTCCAGATGAAATTCTGAGACTCAGTTTTTAACATATTTGTGGAGTGAATAGTTAAGTTACTTTAAAGGGAGATGAGAACTAGTAATCTATGATGTAACATGGCATCATAGTTGGTGATGACAAAGATAGTGGCTTATGAGGCTAATTTTGAGAGTTCTTGAAAGTAAAAGGTCAAAATATAGGCCTTCGAGGCACAATCACACTGGTACAAAATCAGAAAGCCTCTATATCAGCTTTGATAAAATCTCTTTTCTATGGTCGAAACGGAGAAAATTCAGAATCAAGCTTACCTAGAGCCTGATTCTAAAGATTGAGTAGCAGCACACTAAATAACTCTATATTATGTGTAGATTTATTATAATAAGTTATGGAAAGACTTGAGGAAGGAGTGAAAGCCTGAGACATGGGGTGAGTACATTTGGGCAAACTGAAGCGAAATATATAATTGAACCCATAAATCCTCCTGGAGGCTTTTTGCTGGCAGTATCAGGATCCCTTCCCAATGAAGGGGTCAGTCAGTCTTTCTCTGCAAAAAAGCCTTTGATAACTACCATTTGCTTCACAGTGAGATGCCATTATCCTTGGGATTCCCCTCTCTGATTCCCACCACCATTCTTCTGGATTCTATAGGAAGAGAGAGATCTTGAAATAGTGGTTCTAGGACAATTCTACTTGGGAACAAGTTAGCTTAGATAGGAACAGGTTGCCAGTTTGTAGTAACAGCAATGTGAAGAGCATATGTGTGGATTTCAAAAGTTACAGAACAAGAAAAACTGAATCATTAACTTGGGTAGGCTAAATTTATTAATATGGATGTCATGTTTGAACATGTTGGTTTGATAATAATAAGTGTTAATAGAAGCCTTGACTCACGAATGACATGATGACATACAGTCAATGGGGTTTCAATGTCCAAATTTTTTGAACATGTTGCTGAAGTGATCCAAAGACCAGGGAGTTGGTAATGACGGAATTTATTATTGTGTGCAATCTAATTAGATAATTCCCAACTACAATCTTGTGGCACATAACATTTCAGTGAAGGATGGATTACATATATGACAGTGGGCACAGAAGATTATAATATCCTATTTTTACTGTACCTTTTCTATATTTAGGTACACTATTATCATTCTGTTACAATTGCATACAACACAATAACATGCTATACAGATTTGTATAGGAGCAAGGGGGCATGCAAAATAGGTTTGTGTAAGTACACTCTAGGATGTTTGCACAACAATGAAATCACCTTACACTGTGTTTCTCAGAAAGTATTCTGTCATTTAGTGATACATCACTACGTATTATTCACAAAGCCCATAAAAGATGCATTATGAAAAGAGAGAACACTGATTTCTTCCAAAGCTCTTCAGTAGGCTGGAGAAGATAATGGCATGGGAAGGTTACAGTAGAATTTGGTTTTCTGGTTTCAATAAGAAAGATGGAATTTCTCTTTTGGCCCCAGAGCAAAATAAGATGTGGATCCCCTTGTTCAAAAAGCAAGAAAAAAGTGTCTTTAAAAGTACTAAAATATAAAGTATTTTCTTACAAAGTATCTCTCTCAACTTGTCATGGGGTTTTTATTTGCCATTTAATTAATTCCATTCTAGGTTTAAAAATAATAAAATAAAATAAAATTATTAGCACATAAATTTTAATGTTGACCTTTATGTTTTTGAATGCTAAATTTAAATACAAATAGAAGACATTGAACTCATTTGCAGAATCACACAATTTAGAGTTAAATTTTTGAATCTTGTATGTGAATGTGTATTGTGCTATGACCACAGGAGTAGAAATGTTGCATGAAACTAACTTGTTTTTATTTCACTTCCTGATAGGGGCACAATCTACCAACTCTCTCTACCTTTGGCTTACTGATGAGTGGAAAAGGTCTGAAAGAAAAAGAAAATATGGTTGCCTTATCTTTCTCCTTCTGTGTCAATATTTTCAGTATGAATGGTTGGTTAATACAGGATAGTAACTTGAGTGAGAAAGAATGATAGGGTTTCTTGATTATTTTTGTTTTTTACACCTCCACTGTTTTTTTTTCTGCATTTGAAGCAAGTCCTCTTTCAAAGGAGATCATAGTGGGTTGTTAATTAGCCCACTTTTTCCATTGCAGCAATAGCAGACTTACTTGGTACTGACTTTAAATCTCATTAAACTCTCATGCATAATGTTTCTACCAGAGTTCTGTGCTTATTGACATTGCAAAAACTACATGAAGATGGAACAGTGATGGGCATGCCTATTTGGCGTCACTTTTCTTCACATGCATATTCTATTGTTTCATCAGATGTCACACACAAAATACAAGTGCAAAAATAAAATTACTAACATTTCAAGATGGCAATAGCAGAACATTAGTTACAGGATGCTTCTGAGCTTAGGGCCCTGACTTACTACACAGGTCACATGTCCACAAAGCTGTTCCTTTTCTCCAAGCCTTTTCAAGTGATGTTTGGTTGTTTCCTACAGTATCTGTGTACTAATGTGTAGGAAATGCCTTAATGTTTCAGAAGATTTTAGATACAGTATGTACTAAATGAAGCTATTTTATCCTTCTTATATTTTGAATCTGGAGATGTAAAGTTGATGAAATAAGGATTGTGGCCTGGTTCTATCTCACAGAGTTTACTGTGGTAGTATATTATCATTTTGCGGTTATTTTCCCAGCATCCAAATGTATAGTAGTGATAAATATTATTAATTGAGAATCTTCACATCAATTCCTTGTTCTGTGTAGTGGACCTATTTTGGTACAAATAGCCAAGTAAAAACTCTTAAAGCTCTATTCACAATAGCAAAGACATGGAACCAATCCAAATGCCCATCAATGATATACTGGATAAAGAAAATGTGGTACCTATACACTATGGAATACTATGCAGCCATAAAAAGGAATGAGACCATGTCCTTTACAGAGGCATGGATGAAGCTGGAAGCCATCATCCTCAGAAAACTAACACAGCAACAGAAAACCAAATACCACATGTTCTCACTCATAAGTGGGAGTTGAACAATGACAACACATGGACACAGGGAAGGAAACAACACACACTGGGGCCTATGGTGGGGACTGTGTGAGGGGAGGGAGAGTATCAGGACAAATAGCTAATGCATGTGGTGCATACAGGGCTTAAAACCTAGGTGACGGGCTGATAGGTGCAACAAACCACCATGACACACATATACCTATGTAACAAATCTCCATGTTCTGCACATGTATCCCAAAACTTAAAGAAAAAAAACCCAAACAAACCCTTAGAGCTGTTTTACTGCCCTTTCCCCAAGACAGTAAACCAAAAATAATATTATATTCCTCAGAGAACTGCAGGAATTGGAGCATAAAATATGTAAAAGATATAGGGTTGGTGTTTCCTAAAATATTCTTACTTAAACTCATTTGTTTGGCCAGTGTCAAAGCCAGAATAACCCTGGTTTTGTGCAAATTTTTTTCAGGTAAGATACCAATTGCTGCTGCATTTCTACACATGATACTATTGTTAGAGCAGAATGATACCGTACCTAACACCTGGCATGCATTATTAATCCAACATATACTTTCAGTCAAAACAAACAAAAGCAGAATCAGTTTGTTTTTGCATAGACATGCAATGTCTGCATATATATGCATGGTTTAAGTTTCTCACAGGGTAAGGCAAGTCTGCTTTCTTTCATAGTATGTTCTGGAGAGAATGTATTGTCTTGATATTATGCAGTGAATGAGAAAAAAATGACTTTTTCTCACTAAACCTGATTTTGTTATTCTCTAATTCTGAGGTTACCAACAGAAGATATCAAATCTAAGCCCAGAGCAGAGGCAAACTTCCCCTAGATGGGGTCTACAAAACATTAGGTGGCAAGTAGATTACATTGGACCTCTTCCAACATAATCAAGATGAAGCAATTTATTCTCCAAAAAAAAAAATGGTACATTTTAAAGATATAACTTTTCTTCTTCCACAGTTCTTCTGCTAGCATCATTTGTTGACTTAGAAAGTGACTCATTCCTTTAGTAGCCCACAGTGTCTATTATTCTCATATTGTGTCCATGTGTGCTCAGTGTTTAGCTCCCACTTAACACTGAGGTACATGGGAGCTAAACATTGAGCACATACGGACATAATATGCTAAACTCAAGCTAAACTTGAGGTATTTGGTTTTCTGTTCCTGTGTTAATTCACTTAAGATTATGGCCGCTAGCTACATCCATGCTGCTGCAAAGTTTATGTGTGGGAGGCTGGTGGGGAGGATGAGTTAGAAAACTACCTATCAGGTGCTATGCTCACTATCTGGGTGACAAGATCCATACTCCAAACCTCGGAATCATGTAACATTCCCATATAACAAACCTGCACATGTACTCCTTGTTTCGAACATAAAAATGAAAATAAAAACAAAATTAAAAAAAAAAAACCTGAAAAAAGAAAGTGACTCACTTATTAATATGTAATTTATACACTATTTTCTCTCATTAAGACACTCATATCATAGCAATAGGTGTGTGCCTAGAGAATTCAGTAGTCTTTTATTTTTTTATTTTATTTTTTTTGAGACGGAGTTTTTGCTCTTGTTGCTCTGCAGTGCGATGGCGCGATCTCGGCTCACTGCAACCTCCGCTTCCCAGGTTCAAGTGATTCTCCTGCCTCAGCCTCCCGAATAGCTGGGATTACAAGCATGTGCCACCACGCCCAGCTAATTTTGTATTTTTAGTAGAGATGGAGTTTCTCCATGTTGGGCAGGCTGGTAGTAGTCTTATAAAGTACACAATCAGTCCCAAGTAGCTGGCGTGATAAAACAATAGGATAGCCTGATAAAACATGGTGCCAGGTGGGAAAAAAAAAAAAAAAAACCTATTTGAAATTGAATAGTTTATATACAGGATGCAATATAAGTCTCAAAGAACTGGCCAGTATATGAGTGTCATCTTCTCCATAGCCAAAATCTGTAGGTTCATAAAGTGCTATGGTTATACCAAATATCATATTTAAAGATTTTTAATTCCCTGCTTCTGCTAATTTTTGTGATCCTGGTGCCCAAAGGAGAAATGCTTAACTACTAAATGAAGTAATGGTTACATTAAATTAGAATATGTCATTCCCCTTCCTGGACATTTTATGTTTCTCGTGCCATTGAACCCTCAAGAAGAAAAGACGATTACTTTACTGGCCAAGGTAATTGATCCTAACTGTTGCTACACAATAACTACAAGGAATTTTGTATCAAGAATTCAGGGTGAGTCACTGGGGCACCACTTAATACTCCATTTTCTAATAGTCCTGGTCAGCAGAAAGCCGTAGTAATCCATTAAAATGAAAAGAACCAAGAACTCAGATCACATAAAAATGAAAGTTTGGGGCCAGGCGCGGTGGCTCATGCCTGTAATCCCAGCACTTTGGGAGGCTGCACTTTGGGAGGCCGAGGCAGGTGGATCACGAGGTCAGGAGATCGAGACCATCCTGGCTAACACGGTTTAACCCTGTCTCTACTAAAAATACAAAAATAAATAAATAAATAACTAGCCAGGCACCGTGGCGGGCGCCTGTAGCCCCAGCTACTTGGGAGGCTGAGGCAGGAGAATGGCGTGAACCCAGGAGGCGGAGCTTGCAGTGAGCCGATATTGCCATTGCACTCCAGCCTGGGCAACAGAGTGAGACTCCGTCTCAAAAAAAAAAAAAGAAAGTTTGGGTCATTTTGTCAAGTAAAAACTTACCGTCCTAAGGCTCTGGAAGAAGGCAACAGGAAATTGGAATTGTTACTGGAAGAAGAAATTATGATAACTATCCTCATAACCTTATTTTTAAAAAGGGATTGAATTATGTTTTGGTAATTATTCTGTTTTGAAGGGATTTAGAAAAAGGGATTGAATTATGTTTTGGTAATTATTCATGTTTTTCCTTCACATATGAAGTGCACTAAGTGGGGGGGATAATATTTTGGGATTCAAGTGAAATGATAATTGAATTGAAATCACTGTATGATAAGAGAGCTGTTAGGATTTCCTGTGTTTCCTCTGTTGGTGATACGGTTTGGCTATGTCCCCACCCAAATTTCATATTGGATTGTACTCTCATAATTCCCACGTTTTGTGGGAGGGACCTGGTGGGAGATAATTTGAATCAAGGGGGTGGTTTCCCCCATACTGTTCTCATGGTAGTGAATAAGTCTCATGAGATCTGATGGTTTTATCAGGGCTTTCCATTTTTGCATCTCCCTCATTTTATCTTGCTATGTAAGACGTGCCTTTCACCTGCCACCATGATTCTGAGGCCTCCCCAGCCATGTGGAACTGTGAGTCCAATTAAACCTCTTTTTCTTCCCAGTCTCAGGTATGCCTTTATCAGCAGCATGAAAATAGATTAATACAGTTGGGAACTAAATATTTTATTTATTTATTTTTTAACAGTCAGAACTTATACAACATTTATTAATTAAGTTCATTGTCTTATATGAGTGTGGTTTGTGGTGGCCAAAAACAATTAACAGCAGTAACATGAAAGATTATGATCACAGATCACCATAATAGATATAATAATAATGACAAAACTTGAAATAAGGCAAGAATTACCAAAATGTGACACAGAGACATAAAGTGAGCACATGCTTTTGGAAAAAAATAATGCTGATAGACTTACTTGATGCAAGGTTGCCACAAACCTTCAATTTGTGAAACACCCATTATCTGTGATGTGCAATATAGCAGAGCACAATAAAGTGAGGCATTGCCAGTGTATCCAGAGTCTAGCTACTTCTCACCCTTCTCACCACAGGCAGCCTGGGCCAGGTTACTGTTACTTATCCCCTGGATCATTGCTCTCACCTACTATCTAGTCTCCCAGCTTCTGATCTTGCCCCTTATAGTCTGTTCCCAACAGAGCAGTCAGGATGGTACTTTTGAAATGGAAGACAAGTCATTTCAACTACTCTGATTAAATGCTTATATTTTCTCAGAATAAAAGTCAAAACATTTTCAATAACAAAAGGTTCTTCGTGATTGCTCCTGTCCCACTAACCCCTCTGTAAGCTTTCCTACAGTGGAACACTTATTTCTCTAACACCCCAGGCAAATTCAGCCTCAGGGCCTTTGCCCTTGTGATTCGCACTGTCTGGAATACTTGTACCCTAAGTACCAACAGGGCTCACTTAATCACATTTTTTTTTCCATCTTTGTCACTAAGTTGTCTACTAAAAGTCATTTTTCAGTGAGTCTTCCCTGACCACCATTGCAAAATAGCAATCCCCTTCACGTTTCCAAAAATAACATCCCCCCTCTCTTTTCCAGCCTTCTTATTCCTTTTTTAAAATTTCAATAGTTTTGGGGGGAACAGGTGGTGTTTGCTTACATAAATCAGTTGTTTAGTGGTGATTTATGAGATTTTGGTGCACCCATCACCTGAGCAGTATACACTGTACCCAATGTGTAGTCTTTTACTCCTCACCCACTTCCCACTCTTTCCTCTGAGTCTCCAAAGCCCATTGTATCATTCTTATTATGTCTTTGCATCCTCATAGCTTAGCTCCCGCTTATGAGTGAGAAGATACAATGTTTGATTTTCCATTTCTGAGTTACTTTACTTAGAATAATTGTCTCCAATTCCATCCAAGTTGCTGCAAATGGCATTATTTTGTTCCTTTTTATGGCTGAGTAGTATTCCTATGGTGTGTATATATATGTGTGTGTGTGTGTGTGTGTGTGTATATATATATATATATATATATATCTCCTATGGTATATATATAAGATATATATAGCATATATATATATATATATATATCTCCTATGGTGTATATATATGATATATATATCATATATATATATATCCTATGGTGTGTGTGTGTATATATATCTCACAATTTATCCACTCGTGGATTGATGGACATTTGGGCTGGTTCCTTCTTTTTGCACTTGTGAATTGTGCTGCTGTAAACATCCATGTGCAAGCATCTTTTTTTGTATAATGACTTCTTTTCCTCTGGGTAGATACCCAGTAATGGGATTATGGGATCAAATAGCTTTCTAGTTTAATTAAGTCTCATCTATTTATCTTTGTTTTTGTTGCATTTGCTTTTGGGTTCTTGGTCATGATAACTTTGCCTAAATCAATGACTAGAAGGGTTTTTCTGATGCTATCTTCTTGAATTTTTTTGATTTCAGGTCTTAGGTTTAAGTTTTTCTTCCATCTTGAGTTTATTTTTGTGTAAGGTGAGAAATGAAGATCCAGTTTCATTCTCCTACGTGTGGCTTGCCAATTATCCCAACACCATTTGTTGAATAAGGTGTCCTTTCCCCACTTTATGTTTTTGTTTTATTTGCTTTGTTGAAGATCAGTTGGCTGTAAGTATTTGGCTTTATTTCTGAGTTCTCTATTCTGTTCCATTGGTCTATATGCCTATTTTTATACAAGTACTATGCTGTTTTGATGACTATGGCCTTATAGTATAGTTTGAAGTCAGGTAATGTGATGCCTCCAGATTCGTTCTTTTTGCTTAGTCTTGCTTTTGCTATGTGGGCTCTTTTTTAGTCCCATATGAATTTTAGGATCGTTTTTTCTAGTTTTGTGAAGAATGATGCCAGTATTTTGATAGGAATTGCATTGAATTTGTATATTGCTTTTTGCAGTATGGTTATTTTGGCAATATTGATTCTACTCATCCATGAGCATGGATGTGTTTCCATTTGTTGGTGTCATCTGTGATTCCTTTCACCAGTGTTTTGTAGTTTTCCTTGTAGAGGTCTTTCACCTCCTTGGTTAGGTATATTCCTAAGTATTTTATTTTATTTTTGCAGCTACTACAAAAGAGGTTGAGTTCTTGATTTCATTCTCAGCTTGGTCACTATTGGTGTATAGCAGTGCTACTGATTTGTGTACATTGATTTTGTATCCTGAAACTTTGCTAAATTCCTTTATCAGGACTAGGAGCTTTTTGGCAGGTTCTTTGGGGTTTTCTAGGTATATGATCATATAATCAGCAGAGACAGTTTGAATTTCTTTTTACCGATTTGGATGTCCTTTAGTTCTTTCTCTTGTTGGATTGCTCTGGCTTGAACCAAGAAATGAAGAGATAAGATCCAAGTAGCTCAATTAGAAACAAACTGGGAGATATTACAACCAATAACACAGAAATACAAAAGATCTTTCAAGGCTACTATGAAAACCTTCATATGCATAAACTAGAAAACCTGGAGGAGATGGATAAATTCCTGGAAATATACAACTCCCTTAGATTAAATCAGGAAGAAATAGAAACTCTGAACAGACCAATAACAAGCAGTTAAATTGAAATGGTAATAAAAAACATTGCCAACAGCAACAAAAAAGTCCAGGACCAGATGGATTCACAGATGAATTGTATCAGACATTCAGGAAAGAATTGTTACCAATCCTATTGATACTATTCCACAAGATAGAGAAAGAAGAAATTCTTCCTAAATCATTCTATGATGCCAGTATCACCCTAATACCAAAATCAGAAAAGGACATGACAAAAAAAGAAAACTACAGACCAATATCCCTGATGAATAGAAATGCAGAATTCCTTAACAAAATACTAGCTAACTGAATCCAACAGCATATCAAAAAGATAATCTACCATGATCAAGTGGGTTTCATACCAGGTATTCTGGGGTGGTTTAACATATGCAAGTCAATAAACATGATACACCACATGAACAGAATTAAAAGCACAAATCACCTGATCATCTCAATAGATGCAGAAAAAGCATTTGACAAAATTCAGCATCCCTTTATGATTAAAACCCTCAGTAAAATTAGCATAGAAGGGACATACCTTAATGTAACAAAAAGCATCTGTGACAAACCCACAGACAACATAATAATGAATGGGGAAAAATTGAAAGCATTCCCTTTGAGAACTAGAACAAGACAATGATGCCCACTCTCACATTTCTATTCAACATAGTACTGGTGACTAAACATTTTATATACAAAAGACAATAATGGATGGTGAGAAACCGAAAATGTAGAGTTCTGGATATTTTTGTGTGGGGAAAAGAAAGAGAGTTCAGATTGTTACTGTGTCTGTGTAGAAAGAAGTAGACATAGGAGACTCCATTTTCTTCTGTACTAAGAAAAATTCTTCTGCTTTGAGATGCTGTTAATCTGTAACCCTACCCCCAACCCTGTGCTCCCTGAAACATGTGCTGTCAATTTAGGGTTAAGTGGATTAAGGGTGGTGCAGGGTGTGCTTTGTTAAACAAACACTTGAAGGCAGCATGCTTGTTAAGAGTCACCACCACTCCCTAATCTCAAACCACTCCCTAATCTCAAGTACCCAGAGACACAAAACACTGCTGAAGGCCGCGGGGACCTCTGCCTAGGAAAGCCAGGTATTGTCCAAGGTTTCTCCCCATGTGATAGTCTGAAATATGGCCTTGTGGGAAGGGAAGGACCTGACCGTCCCCCAGCCCGACACCCGTAAAGGGTCTGTGCTGAGGAGGATTAGTAAAAGAGGAAGGAACCCCTCTTTGCAGCTGAGATAAGAGGAAGGCTTCTGTCTCCTGCTCCTCCCTGGGCAATGGAATGTCTCAGTGTAAAGCCCGATTGTATATTCCATCTACTGAGATAGGGTAAAACCGCCTTAGGCCTGGAGGTGGGACACGCTGGCAGCAATACTGCTCCTTAAGGCATTGAGATGTTTATGTATATGCACATCAAAAGCACAGCAATTTTTTCTTTACCTTAGTTTATGATGCAGAGACATTTGTTACCTTCTGACCTTCTCTCCACTATAATCCTGCCATCCCTGATAATGATCAATAAATACTAAGGGAACTCAGAGGCCGGTGCCTGCGTGGATCCTCCATATGCTGAATGCTGGTCCCCTAGGCCCCTTTTTCTTTCTCTATACTTTGTCTCTGTGTCTCTTTCTTTTCCAAGTCTCTCGTTCCACCTAACGAGAAACACCCACAGGTGTGGAGGGGCAACCCATCCCTTCATTTTCGTTTGCCTCTCCAGATATATTTGCCACCCTCCTCTACTATGCTCTTTGACCCTTGTGGACTCTGTCAGCTGGGTTACCCTGATGCCTGGCTTATAATTGAGGTTTGCTAATGTGAATCACTTGTAGGAATTTATTCCACATTGCCTCTCAGAGACATTATAATGAGGATCTGCTGTTTCCTTCTAACAAAGGCCTCCTACCCATAGGTAAAACTCTTACCTCTGGATGCCTGGAGTCACTTCCTCCCCTTGTCCTCTCATGGGTAGAGGTGGTAAGTTTTCTGCTTTTGCTGGCACTTGACTACATCTTTTATATAGCCCCTTAATGAAATCATCATCAATCTATTGAGTAGTTTTATCCCAAAATCTTAACTGATATGGAAATTTATCCAATTCAAGGGTGGATACGTGGTGCAGAACCATTATTTAGGGCCATTATTTTGCTTAAAGAGCAATAATGTGACAAAAAATTGGGTAACAAAGCTACTTGGAATGTATTTAAATTTCAAAATCACACTTATATTAATAAACAATGATATTTCTAGCAGAATTTCAAAGATAATAATTACAAAATGCCTTATTATTTTATGTCACATGTAAAATTATAATTAAGGTTTATTTCCTATGTTTTATTTTTAAACCTGGCTTAATAGATTAAAAACCATAAAACCACTTTTATTATGTAGATAATATTTCAATAAACTTTATTCTATTTCTGTTCTATAAGTGAAATATTTTTAGACTATTTTTTACTCTGAAGGACATTGTCTCTGCTTATTTCTTAGACTTCATTTATGACTTTAAAAAAGATATAGCAAAATGACCATTTTTAAAAAATGCACGTTAAACATATAAATTATCCAATGATTATCAAAACACCTCTTTTTTGAAATTATTATTTACAATCTGAATTCAACTTTTAAAAAAGTGTTTTGAATGTGAAGAGTAAGCCTGATACCCTTATTGCTTCTTCCTTTTGAGGAATAGAGACGAGAATTAAGCTGTTACCTTTATATTAATGTATATTGGAAATTCCTGAGTAGGCAGTTCTAGGGTGATCACACATCCTGCTTTAACTGGAACAGACACAGGTCACACATACTGTTCCAATGTAAGTATTAATAGTGCATTTTCAAAATGATCAGTTTGGATGATAAATTATGTGGTTGCTTAAAGCAATCCTATAGGCAGCAATTTTTACTTGCCTATCTTTCTTCTTCATTGTATATTTTTTCTGGTTATTCTTTAAACTTTTGTATTAAAGGGCTTATGTTTTTATTACCTGTTAGCTTATCAATGCTTTCTTTAAAACCTATTTAACATTTAGAGGAAAATCAAATAAAAGTTCTTGCAGTCCCCAATGACTCACTGTTTAACTCTGACTTTCAAGAGAATTAGCCCTTATAATTCTCTGTTCATGAATGCCAGAGGAATTAGTATGGAGCATTAGTTGGGAAAAGCTTAATGGTAAACATACCCTGAAAAGTAATATAGAGAAGAAATAAAAGGTCATTATTTTTCCCAGACCTAAAAATAATGTGTTTAAAAAATCCAGTTCATATCTTTCATGCGCGTCCACGTGAAGAGACCACCAAACAGACTTTGTGTGAGCAACATGGCTGTTTATTTCACCTGGGTGCAGGCGGGCTGAGTCCGAAAAGAGAGTCAGCAAAGGGTGGTGGATTATCATTAGTTCTTATAGGTTTTGGGATAGGTGGTGAAGTTAAGAGCAATGTTTTGCGGGCAGGGATGGATCTCACAAAGTACATCCTCAAGGGTGGGGAGAATTACAAAGAACCTTCTTAAGGGTTGGGGAAATTATAAAGAACCATCTTAAGGGTGGCGGAGATTGCAAAGTACATTGATCAGTGAGGGTGGGGCAGAAACAAATCACAATGGTGGAATGTCATCAGTTAAGGTTATTTTTACTTCTTTTGTGGATCTTCAGTTACTTCAGGCCATCTGGATGTATAAGTGCAAGTCACAGGGGATGCGATGGCTTGGCTTGGGCTCGGAGGCCTGACAATATCCATGTGATCCATAACAGTATTGGTCTGCGATATTTTAAAGAATAATATTTAATAAAACCAATTCATGTGGATAATTTTTAATGTAAAAAAAGATTCAAATAAAATTAAAAAAAAAACCAAATAGACTAGTAAAAAAGGAAATTAAGCAATATGTCCTTACCATATCTTCCTTTACATGCATATTCTCAAGCACTGTCTAGTACCAATCAAAGTCTGAAATATGTTTTTATGGAATTAATGTATCTTTTCATCTTGGAAGGTACATATTCAAATAATCTGCATATAACATAATATTATCTCACTGTATTCAACACACTGATTATATTCTTTATTTTAAATTATTATTTACTTATCCTCAATTTTATATATATAATTATTTATTATTTATTTTTTTGAAACAAAGTCTCACTCTGTCACCCAGGCTGGAGTGCAGTGGCATGGCCTCAGCACACTGCAACCTCTGCTTCCCAGATTCAAGCGATCCTCCAACCTCAGCCTCCTAAGTAGCTGAGTCAACAGGTGTGCACCACCAGTCCTAGCTTATTTTTGTATTTTTAGTAGAGAATGGATTTTACCATGTTAGCCAGGTCTCCTGACCTCAGGTGATCTGTTCGCCTTGACCTCCCAAAATGCTGGGATTATGGGCATGAGCAACCACTCCTGACCTCACTTATATTTAGTAAGTGTTAATTGAGTATCTATTATAAGACTAACTCTAATCTACCAGAGCATTGAGGAAATGAATAACTATTAAGTTGATAAAGTTAAAACATATACACTCACCAGGCTAGTGAGTTAAATAAATTCATTTGCTTTTACATTTATAACCATAGGGTCATAGAATATATATACTCCAGTTGATGGCATAAAATGAATGTTCCAATTTTTCCTTATATGAGTAAGACAAATAAGAAGGAATGATGAAACTTTCCACTCTCATCAGCTCAATTATTTTTTACAACAGAGGGAAAACCTTATCAAATGCAAAATTCTCTGTTTGTGAGCATCTGATCCATCTCTAGTAGTTTCTTACTCCCTACTCTTGTTATTCCTGTTTTTAGGGATGAATCAGTAAAAGATATGAATTTAGTGATTCTGTGCATGTTGTATTCTACTGCAGTAAGCATGAGGCATGGTTTGTGGTTAATTCCAATTTTAGTAATGATACAATTAATCAGTACATTCATTAGAGGCCAGTGTTAGTTTTCTTTCATTAATTTATATATATAGATTCAACATGTATTAATGATCATTGCATAGATCTATCATTTCATTAGGCTTACAAAAATGACTTTCTAATATCTCTCCTGTAGTTATTGACTAGAATTATTCTGCAAATAACTTTCAACTATGTGATTATACTGGAATACCACTGAGAAAAGAAAGACATGATATACACTTTATTTTTTCACTTTATCCATTTACTGAAATCTGTCAGTACTGTAAAATTGTCAGGAAAAATAGGAAAGGAGATGATTTCAGTGCTTCAGTTTAGTTTTAGCCTGGGGCTCTAGT
This sequence comes from Homo sapiens, assembly GCF_000001405.40. NCBI lineage: Eukaryota > Metazoa > Chordata > Mammalia > Primates > Hominidae > Homo > Homo sapiens. The sequence goes on along the minus strand of NC_000002.12, from coordinate 194,500,792 downwards.
GCTTCAAAAATGGAAAAACAAAATCTACAGTAATCAGAGTACATTGCTGCTGATCCCAATCAGATTTGAAAATGTTTCTTTGCTCCCTCCACAGTTTAAAAATATACAGTTAACAGAATTATTAACTTTTATTGTTGAAGACCTGAGAAGTCTGATTATGATGTTTGTCAATAAAAATATATATCACTTAGCAGAAGTGAAACAAAATAGTTGTAATTAAAAGAGAAGTTTTCTCACCTCCTTTGTCTAGAGTCAAAATGAATCCTTTTCCTTTAAATTTAGACTAATGTTGCCAAATATTTAATTAATATTTTGCTAAGATTAACATTAAAAACAAAAATAACTGGTTTTGATTTTTTTGTCTTTGGAGACAGGGTCTCACTCCATCACCCACTACAGCCTGGACCTCCTGGGCTCAAAGTATCCTCCCAGCTCAGCCTCCCAATTAGCTGGGAAAAGAGGCACACAGTACCATGCCTAGCTAATTTTTAGTGTTTTAGAGATGTCATCTCAGCATGTTGCTATTTCACTTTAGCAGAAAATAGCAAAGTAGGAGAAAGGTAATCTTATACTTTTACTACTGGATTATAAATTTTAGAGGAGGAGCTTTTCAGTTTTGTTCTTTGATGCATTAACAGCATTTGCATGGTGTCAGTAATTGCTCAATAAATACTTGCTAAGTGAATGACTGTATCAAAGTTTCCTTAAAGCGATTGGATAGTGAAGACAACCATGAGGTTTTATGTACACATGAAAAAGACATTTCACCATAATGAACCAAAATCAGAATTGATTGGATGTTTTCCTCCTTAGCCCCACATTTCTACTCCTGTTACTTAATTGTGAAGAAAACTATGAGAGACATAATCTTCTACATTTTAAGGTATGCCCAATACCTGGATATTCAGGAACACAATAATTTAATGTAACTTAGTTTCTCTCTCATTGGTTCGTGTTGTACTTAAAAATGTTATATTTAAATCAGTGGGTTTTTTTTTTCTTTGAACACAAGAAGCTTATATAATTTATTCATGTTCGATTTTAAATCACATTTGATATTTCATAATGTATATTGTCAGTTTGCTAGCATTTGACATTTGGTAGAAAATCTCTAGGCTTGAAAGTATATATATCGGCCGGGCGCGGTGGCTCATACCTATAATCCCAGCACTTTGGGAGGCCGAGGCGGGCGGATCACGAGATCAGTTTGGAACCAGCCTGACCAACATAGCGAAACCTCGTCTCTAGTAAAAATACAAAAAATTTGCTGGGCATGGTGGCAGGCACCTTTAATCCCAGCTACTTGGGAGGGTGAGGCAGGAGAATCGCTTGAACCCGGGAGGGAGATGTTGCAGTGAGCCGAGATCGCGCCACTGCACTCCAGCCCAGGGGACCAATGCGAGAATCCGTCTCAAAAAAAAAAAAAAGTATATATATCTAATATTAATATTCTCTAACCACTGATTCTCAATTTTGCCTTTCTAGAGTAGTTACCTGTCTTGTAAATCTTTACCTAGGAAAGTTGATTACATTTAGGAATTACAGGTTTATGCTGCATTAAGATGGCATACTTATTATCTTTTATATAGCCCATATTTTATTGTTGCTGTTTTTATTATTGGTAAAGGGTTTTTGTTTGTTTTGTTTTGTATAAGCCAAAGACAAACTCTTATCTCTTGAGGAAGATTCCAATGAACTGAAAAAAATTTAAAAAAGAAGAAGAAAGAAGAAACCCTTTGGCAAACTTGAGTCTTGTATTTACTGAGGGTTTATTGCTACAATTAAACATTTTATAAGCACAAATTTATGTTTTAAAATTTTGGCAAAATATGAAAAAATTATGTTTCTTACTGATTCATTTGGAAACACTTTGATTGCTTAATTTACGAAGTGTTCCAAATATTTCCACGGGCAAATTACCAAGAAGGTATTCAGTAGTAGAGATGTTATTAAATTCAGTTCCATATGTTGGCATTGAGAATACCAGATTTATATTTTAAAAGAACATTTTAAGTACTGAAATCAAAATAATTGTATTTTTAAAAGGTCACTAAGAGTTTTAATAATAACAATTCCTATTATTGTTCACTTATGTTTTAATTACTGTATAAATGCTCCATATGCAGTTTCTGTCAATCTTCAAAGAAATTATATTAAATAGTAGTTATTTCTATCCCTATTTTATAGATTTCATGTCTGAGGTTGAGTGAAATAAAGTGATTTTCTCAAAATGCTACGATGGGAAGTGATAGAAAAGGTCTTTTCATTTCTGTAAAGATTTTGGATTTTTCAGCAGTGGTTTTTGTATATTTAAAATACTCTTGAGAAGATCACTTTTATTCAATATTAAGATTTAAATCATTAAAGTTATAACAGAAATGGTTAAGCCTTAAATTCAGCAGGCAGATTTTATTATCCTGTTTATACATTTAGCATTAACATTTAGTATTAATAATCAATTTTGCTTGGCTTTGAGTAATGTTTGATCCCATTTACCAACTTAATTAAAAATCTTCAAATATTTTAACTGCATTTAAAAATTTAATATATCTTATTTATTTCATAAGTACTTCAACTGTCTGACTTAGCAAAGAAAACATTTCTGAATTAAAATATTCATTAATGTTTAATAAATTAAATATATAAATATAGATAAATTAAAATTTTCTTAAATGCTCTAATAGTACATAAAATTTATGGAGTTTCAATTTGATAATTGCTTCTTATCACAAACAATAAATATTATGATTTTTTTTCAAACTAGACTCTAGACTTAATTCTAAACTTTTCTGAATTAGAAGGTATTTACTCACAAAGAAAAGGTTTCAAGCCTCATTACTTGAGATTACTGAAGACTAGATATTTTTGGCCTTGCATGAAACTGGAACCTGCAAACATCCAGATAAATTTTTCTTACTATCAATCAACAAAGCCATTATACCTTCCCAAGTAATTTTGTGAGTGCCTTCTTCAGTATGCTTGCAGTTAATACAGATAAGGACTGTTGACTGGGATGCTTACCAGATTCATGTATGTGGCATTGGTATTCACACAAAATCCATTTATAGAGTTGTTGTCAAATAGTCTATAACACAGATGACAGATTCATATAGTTCAACACCTAAGAATCTGGATTTACATATTATCTGGTCCTTTGCTACTTAAAGATTCTGCCACTCCTACTAAATTTGATCATTATATTGAAATTTGCCGTTTCTGGTTGAGGTATATATATATTTTTTTCTTTATATTTATTTTTTTTATATTTATTTTTTCTTTTCTTCTTCACTTTTCAAAGGCATTTAAACTTGATAAAAACATAAAATATTTAAGTACATTTTCCGTACAATGATAAAGACTTGGAACTTTATGGACTCCTGCTTCTTTCATGTTTATTATACACAACTCTTATTTAAATTTAGATATTTAAAACATAAATCAGTTTGAATTTTGGCTGTCTTACATGACTTTGTCAAAGGGTGGCCCAGTTTATAAAGATAATGCAAGGGACATTTTTATGTTTTCCATTGATTATTAGACAATTTAAAATTTCCACTGAATCTCAGAATATTGTTTGATGTGAAAACATAATTTCTTGTATTTAAGCCTATGCCTATCTCTAGGCATTATTTTCCAGTTTGTTTCAAGGTCATATGTATTCTTTTCAAAACTTGCAAAGATACATCTTAGTATAGTTCTCAATATTGAACTGATTTAACACCATATATGTGCTTCTCAAATGAATTTTCATACAACAATAATTTTCTAACTGCAAGAAATTTTGTAGACCTGAGTATAAAATCTCTTAAGATAAATGATTGAAACTTAGAATAAGAAGGAAGAGCCAGAGGAAAGAAGAACAAAGTTGAAGAAATGAGCATTTAGTAATAGCATCATCTATATGTCATAAGCTAAAGTAGATTATTGATAAATTTATTTCATAGCAATGTTTCATGGAAGATGTCACATTATGAATGATACAGATAAAGAAATTAAGCTAGATTTGAAATTCAGATTTGTCTCCAAACAAATCTGGAGGATACCCACTAGAGAACTATTTGGAAATAACCGATAGTCCCCAAATTTTTATATATAGAGAAGGTGCAACTTAGTTTTGGAGAGTAAAGTGATTTTAGTGAGGAACACACCCTGGTGTTCCTTACTTTTCACTTTCTATCACACCAACCCTTTTATACAGTCAAAAAATTGTTTTTGGTATTAAATTTAAGAAAAGTTCACATACTAGGATTTCATGCCCTGATACTGGGTTGCTGCAAAATTAATTGCGGATTTTGCCATTACATTCAACGGCAAAAGCTGCCGTTACTTCTGCATCAACCAAATAAATAATTCAGTGTGTAAAAAAAGTGTGGTATATACATGATGGAATACTATTAGGACAAAAAAATGAAATCCTGTAATTTGTGACAACATGGATGAACCTGGAGGACTTCATGTTAAGTAAAACAAGACACAGAAAGATAAATATCACACAATCTCACTCATATGTAGAATATAAAACAAAGTTGATATCAGAGAAGCTGAGAGTAGAAAAGTGGTTACTAGGGACTGAGGAGGAGATTGGGGGTTGGGGGCTGGTAAATGTGTAAAAAGTAATTAGATAACAGGACTAAATTCCGTTGTTCTGTGATACAAGGGAGAGTAAACTATGGTATATTACAAAATAGCTCTAAGGCATTTAAATGCTCAACACAAATAAATGATAAAATGTATGAGGTTTTGGATACTCTAACTACCCTAATTGGATCATTATACAACTTGATCACTGATATTTTGATGTATCCGAACATCAAATTGTACCCCTTAAATATGTACAACTACAACATGTCAATTCAAAAAAAATAATAAATAACATTTTCAAAGACTGTCTCCTTCAGCGAGACATCTTATGAAACAAGACAGCCTGTTATTTAAAAAAAAGTAGTTTCCTCTATAACCTGAAATAAATTACTTCTAAAATTAATTTAATGTACAGGTAAACATATGTATTAAAGCAAATATCCTGTCTTGTATTAATGTCCCATGGAAGTGAGGAGGAGTAAACATGACTTTAACAAAGTCCTTTACACTAAATAAACCCTACAATTAGATTCTTGAATGAAGGTATATATGGGGAAAAGTTCTTTTGAGTATGATTTTTGATGTTTGTAGTGTTTCCTCTAAAACATGTGGAGTAGGAATATTATCACTTGGTTTTTTTGGAAACAGTAAAGATGGCCTAGCTAAGGATGCCAAAAATTCAGAGGTACAATTAAACAGAATTAAATGCATCAAAAATTAATATATTTTACTTAAATGAATATAATGATGAACTATGGTTTAGTCAGATTGTTATTTAGAATTACAAATAATTTGAATTTTTGAATGTATACTTAATAGAATTATGGTCATTCATATAATATTCTTAAAAATCATAAATACAGAGGTTTGGAAACTCAGAAGGGAGGGTAAAGTTTTATAAGATATGTGAGGCTGTAGTAATTCCTGTTCCACATCTGACATTGAGTAAGTATTAAGTTATTAGTCATCATCCACTAAAAATATCTGAAGTGGAGCACTATGGCATGCTATCTCATAGTATACTGGTAAATTTTTGTTAGTATCACATTAAAAACAAGTCTCCAGAAAGCACTTTTTTAGATGTGCAAGATATTTGTCTTTGACAATTTTGTTTGTTTGTGCTTGATTAGAGAAAGAGTCTGCAACTATACTACCCTAGATCACCTTCTTAGGATTAACTTTTTTTAAGAAAGGAAATTTAAGTATTTTATATAGTATGAAAAAAGACTGCTGTTCTCTGTATTCCAAAGCTGCAACTAATGACAATAGTATTACACATGTACATTGATGACAGTCTGTGGGATTGAGTATCTAAATTCTTTATATCCCTTATACAATTTTATTACTTATGAATACTGAAAAGTTACTGGAAAATCATTTAGCATTGCTGAGCTGTCACTTGATTATCCTGAACTTAGTAATATTGTAAAAGAAGCATAAAATACCAAGATGGAAAAAAAAGAGGTTAAAAAAAGAGCAATAGTAAAAACTACAGTGCAGGATATTAATTGTGTTGAATGGTGTGAGTTTCTGACAGATAATAAACCAGTGATAGATGTGATCTCTAAAATTGCATGTGTATCATGAGCTGAACCCTCAGTCTAATACAGGGTCATTGAATTTTACAGTCTCATAAGCTTCCAGGACTTTGCCTGGCACATCAACACAATTGCTTAATGTGCAATAAATTCTACAGCTAGCCATCTGCTTACCCTTTTGACCTTTCAAATTTTATAAAAACCCAGGCCCATAATTTCTCACTTCATGAAGCACCAGATTTTTGGAATATGTTATAGTTCAGGGTTACTTTGTCTTTTTTTATGCAACCAAAGAGACTTAATATATTGGATAAAATTTGGCAGCAACATGCCTTTTCCATTGAAATGGTTATGAGAGCAATCACTAGAGTTAATAAGATTTAGGCTACTTCTACCTATTGTGTAGTTGGATATGCTCATTTAAACAAATGTCTGCTAGTTATGGGGATTCTTAAACTAAACAGTATGCAAACTACAGGAAATAACTTCTACAATAGTTAAGAAACCAAGAAAATGATTCCAAAATATTTATACATTGGTAATAAATAACTTTGTATTTACATACATAGAATATTCTATTATTTTTGCATTTTTGGTTTAGTTCACAAACAAGTTCCTTAATCATATGGCAGGTAATTTCTCATTAGAGACATAACAATATATTATGCACTTGAACAAAAGTTTAAAGAATATCTTTAGTTTTATGATGATAAACTCTTAGGGCCAGATGGATTAGAAGTCATATAAAAATAAATCATGTAACTTCTCCTGAGCATAGACCAACTCTTAGCCTTGAGAAGCTGATGGAGAGAAGGCAGACAAATGTCTAATTAACAGAAATCTAACTGCCAAAGGCACTTTAACCTTTAGTGATTTCTCCAAGAATTATTTTTCATCAAGATACTTATGATTGTTATGTATTTCTGATAAAAGAATTGGAGGTTTGGAAGCATCAGAATATAGTAAAGCCTTGCTCATTCCAGACACAGCTCCGGCCCAGCTTCCTTCTCTTTTCTCTGTCATCTTCTTCTTCAACAACAATTGTGGTACTTTTCTTTTTTATCTTAAACCATGGAGCTCTATAATCTGTTTGTCCCTTTGAGGTGTAAATTTTTCTTTAAATAAGGTCATTAGGAATTTTTTCTAAACAAATACTATATTTGGCTTCAAGAAAATAACAGTAAAGTGGTTAGAACTGAGACATAGCTTGGGTTCAAATCCTAGCTTTACCACTTGCTGGTTGTGTGATCAAAGGATACCTTTTTCCTTGGTAGCTTGCCCTGTGTAAAATAATGACGATAATCATAGTTTATAAGCGCATAGAGAATATATTAATATAATAAAATATTAATATATAATTAAAACACATAAAAGTATTAATATATATTAATGTATTAAAATATTAAATTATTAAAATTCTACATACTATATATTATATAATATAGTCTATATATTATATAGAATATAGAATTATATAGAATTCTCTATGTACAGAATATAGAATGTATAGATTTTTAATATTCCATATATTTAGTCTCATTTAAATTTATATATTCTATATAAAGAATATATATAATTAAATGAGGTATATACTATATATTCTATGTATGTGCAATCTCATTTAATTTTAACTCCATAAAAGTTGATATTTTTATTAAATTAATGAAATTATTTTATTTTTATTAAGTAGTTTTAATATGAAAATGGTTCTTATTACAAAGCTGGTAATATTTTTTCCTACTCAAAGAATGCCAGATAGATGGAAGGGGGATAGATTACACTTATTGAATGGCTACTGTATGTTTTGCAATGTGTATTATATAAATTATTTCACTTAATTTTCACAACTCTTAAAATGTGATATTTTCAAGTACTGATGCATTGTCACCAGGGAATTTTATATATATATTATATAATATATTATAATATATCTTATATATTATATATAGTATATATTATGTATAATATATTATATATTATATATAATTTATATTTATATTTATATATTTATATTATATATTTATAAATATAAATTTTACATATTTATATATTTTATATATTTATATATATTTATATAATATATATAATATTTATATATAATATATATAATATTTATATAATATATACAATATTTATATAATATATATATTTATATATTATATATAATATTATATAATATATATAATATTTATATATAATATATAAATATTATATATATTATATATTATATTTATATATAAGATATATAATATTTATATATAATATATAATATTTATATATATAATATTTATATATAATATATAATATTTATATATAATATATAATATGTATATATTATATATAATATATAATATGTATATATAATATATATAATATGTATATATTATATACAATATATATATGTATATATAATATATATAATATGTATATATAATATATATTATATATAATATATATAATATGTATATATAATATATATTATATATAATATATATAATATGTATATATATTTATATATAATTATATATAAAATTTTGTAAAGGCAAAGCACTTCGAAAGATTTAAAATAATTTTTACAGCAAGGGAAGGTAACATTTAATTAAAGAATTAGAACAAAACAGATAACAAATCTTTTATATTTAAACAACTGAAGAAATGAATTAAATTATTGCTCATCACCACTCTTGAAGTAACAGTTGCCTTACACACACACACACACACACAAACACATACACACACACAAGCATACATACACACACATACATACACACATGGAATACATGTAGACCTAGCACTGCTTTCTTCTTTTGTTAAAATTATGGTTCTGAGAATAAAGAATTTGGTATTAACTGGGCAGTGGGCTTTGAGAAATACTGTGGATTATATTACTGCTTTCATCTTTTAGTATTTTTTCCGTGTGATTAGTGAAAAACTTTCACTATTTTATTGTTGTAGAAGACCAAGAGAATTACAAAATTAATTATTCTTGTCAGGACTGCAGTGACCAGCAAATGTATCTACTTGCCAGATGTCAAGCTGGAACTCAGAGAATACACCATCTTTTGAGAAGAAGGAGCCCTGTGCTGTGACAGAGTATCGAGAGAAATTCAGAGAACCTCAGGTAACATCACTGAAAATAGCCTTACTTCATCCTTATGTAAATGAACATGTTCTACTGCAGATTACTTTAATATTTGACAATTACAGCTAAACCATGGAGAGAAGACACTGCAATGATCTCTAACCAGGCATAAAATAATTCATTTTCCATCAAGCTATGCAAGACAGGAAAGTAAAAGGATATAAATACACATTCTTATTTTTTTTTTGATGTATCAAGTAAGGAATAAAATATGAAATAAATCTATTTGCAAATAATCCATATTTATAAATGCCACCCCCAACTGCAATAGTGAAGCCTAAACATCATCCTTTAACATGTCATTACTTTTCTTTAACATATCATTATATAAGGCAGTTACTTTTCTTTAACATGTCATTATATAAGGGAATTACTTTTCTTTAACATGTCATGATATAAATAAGCATCACAAGATGTCACCAGATGGCAAAACAGTAAGATTTATAAATGATTATCTTTTAAAAGGCAAACCTCTCCAAATGTTTGAACTCAAAACTACAATTAATTAGAATTTGGTGCATTAATATTTGCTTTGACATTTTATGTCTTTTTAAACTAGGCTTGAAAAATATTTGTTTCTGCCCTTTGTAACACCAGAAATATTTTGGGCAGTTGTTGTCTGTTAGTTTTATTAATTCATCCATTTTTCATTCAAGTTTCCGTATTACCTATTTGAGGGCAAGGTATTGTCTATACCTAGGGAAGCTATGTTAAATAGAAAAACCTGCTCCTTCTCAGAAGCAACATATGCAAACCCATCCAGTTAATATTCAAAAGATGCTATTTGTGATAATTGTTGACAGGACAGTGTAGTGCAAACAACATGAGTTTAGAATCAGACATAACCAGATTTAAATTTAGGCTGATGAGGGCAGAATTCAACCTCTCTGCCTCTTTGGAATTGTAAATGGTAGTTTGGTTAGACGTTATTCAAAGAAAAGTTCTAGCATACTGTAAACTCTCAGTACATGGTCAATAAAAGAAAGATCAAAAAGAAAAGATAAATGACACAGTTCAACTATTAAATTCAAACTATATCACTAAAAGTATATTGTCTATTAATGTCAGATCAGGTGCGTTAATTATATTTGTGTATAGAAGATACCATTATACTATCAACACAAGGAAAATCAAGCACTGTTTCAAATAACTTAACTGTAATCATAGTTTTTGTCTTTCTATCATTTTGAACAGCCTTATCAAATATATATTCCTAAATCTATAATAATAATAGCGTAGGAGTTTCTCTCAACTTTAACATTTAAACAAGAACATAATTAACAAAGGGAAGAAAAGCAAATACTATATATGGAACAATATGCTATGTGATTTTAATATGTTATCTCACATCAACACACCCACGAAGTCACTGAATCTTTATTTTTAAATCAAGAAAGTAAATCACCAAGAGTAAATTAATTTGTAAAAATTTACTCTATTTCAGATATTGTCACCTGACTGCCTTTTCTCCTGTCCTACCACATTCCTCCTTCCTCAATACATTTTTTTAACACACCAACGTGTAGTTCTTTATGAGGATCTTTGAAGATGCTTGTCTTCCCCATTAGAATATTATTTCCCTTGAACGTCCTAAGGTTTATAATCTCACTTCTTCTATCATTTAAGTCTGAGCAATGACTTCTCCATGAACAGGCTCTGTTTCCTGTCTGAAATAATCTTTCTTCCCAACTTCCTCTCTTTCTATATTATGTTAGATTTTTTTCTCCATATCACTTATCATTACATGAGATTATAATATTTTTTTTTCTTGTTGCTCTCAGTCTTTCTTAAAATGCAAGTTCAACAAGTGTAAAATCATGTTGGGGTTTTATTGAAAAATCCCCAGTGCGTAAAATAGGATGAAGCATATTGAAGTTCAAAATTCATATTAAATATTTGTTGAATAAATTTTTAAAAAATGACACATCAATGCTTAAAGTAAACAATAATACCGAGAAATGGGGAGGATAATTAATGGAAACATAAAAGAAAGTCAAACAATAAAAATATAGGAAATAAAAGACTCAGTGGGAGCTCAGCAGATGTCCATAGACTCCCATAGTCTGCTGTTTCTGTGGAACCACAAGATGACTTTTTTCTTCCAATTCGAGATTGATTTTAAATTCCTCTTATAAAGAAGCTGATTGGCTCAATCTTATGTCAGGGAACTATGATTAGATCTAACTACTCTGGCTGTGGTAGCATTCACATAATATAAGCATCATCACTAAAGGCACACTTTTGTATTTTGTCGTCCTTAGAGAAGAGGGAAAACTGTGAGCTCAGCTGATAACAAAAGGGAAGACTACCACAAGCATAAGAAATAAATAGACTTTTGAAATGCCTCTACTTTTAGTACTTCTTCTTTATTATTATATCTTTATTCTAGAAGATTTGGAGGTCAGCCATTTACTCCTTAGTCACAATTTAGTTAAATCATTTTATTAAATAAAGAATTTGAGGGCAGTGAATACTGTTGAATGAGAGCTAAGCATATATTTTAGTACTTTTTGATGCTTATAAAAGAGAGAGGAGAAAAACAGCTTTAGAAAATAGAGGGTAATAAAAGAAATTCAATAGCAAATAATATTTTCCATAAGATAAAAGAGGTATATGAAGGTTTTATTTCTGTGGGTTTTTTTTTTCACTTTTTTGAATGTTATTTCACTGAAATAGTTCACATAGTCTTTTTTTTTTTAACTTCTATCTTAAGTTCAGGGGTACAAGAGCAGCTTTGTTACATTGGTAAACTTGGGTCATGGCGGTTTATTGTACAGATTATTTCATCACAACTCTGTGTCCCGAAGAAGGACATGATCTTGTTCTTTTCTATGGCTACATAGTACTCCAGGGTATGTATGTACCTCATTTTCTTTATTCAGTCTATTATTGATGGGCATTTAGGTTGATTCCATGTCTTTGCTATTGCAAATAGTGCTGCAATGAGCATATTTGTGCATGTGTCTTTATAATGGAATGACTTATTTTCCTTTGGGTATATTCCCAGTAATGAGATTGCTGGGTTGAATGGTATTTCTGTCTTTAGGTCTTTGCGGAATCGCCACACTGTCTTCCACAAACATAGTCTTGACATCAGTGTTCAAGAGTAGTTTCTCTATATTTTCTCTAGCATGGCTCATTTAACTGACAAGATTTAAAAAAAACAAACAAACACTATTTACTTTGAATTTTTGCCATAGCTCAACCAGTTCAGTTTTACTGTTTTGTTCAACCTCTACTTTTATTAAATAATTATTTAAAATATAAATAATTATTGAAACACTGATGAAAATTTGAAAAGTCAAGGCACAGTTTTATCATGTTGAAACAGATAATGGCATGAAATTGAGCTTAGACAGAAATGGATTAGGATATATGTCATATCTTGGGATTTGGGCCTAGAGAATCCCAGTCCCATAACCAAGTATTACTTAACTCTGATTTTTGAAATACTTATGTGTAAAATGAAATGGTTATTCTTTCATAGAATTATTAAAAATTGTATGAGATAATATATTGAAAACCACATATTTATCAAATACTATTTAACTAATTATAAACAAAATAGACTGTTGCATTTATACATAAATAAATATCTGATAGCTACTATAATGAATATGGAAGCTTCTCATGAACTGATATACTGTTAGATGGACAATACAAGAATATTGTACATTTTATGCTCTTATTTGTTTGCAAAGTGATAAGATATATAATATATATACACACAAGCCCATTATACACACACACTCACATACATATATACATATATATATATATGTATATATGTATATATAACAAGTATACAATTAAAATTATCCCTGGGAAAGATACATGAGAAACTGATAATGCTAGTTACCTCTGGGGAGAACTGAGTGAATTTGCCAAAAGTGAGAAAAATAATTTCCTTTGTGTCCTTTTAGATTATGAGCTAGGGGAATGTATTACCAATACAAAGATGAATGAATGATGTTGAAAACTAAATAAAATGCCTGTTTCCCTTTTCTTCTTGACTCTTTAGAAAGGTCATAAAGGAAATTTAATGTACAAGTTTAAAAGTCTTAGAAGTTAAGATGGATTATTTTACAAATATATGGTGAATAAAGCCAATCACTTTAGATTATAAAAATATTCTTTTATCTCACCGACTTAGTGCCTGTTATTTTGGTTTAGGATTAAAGCATCACGTTGATTGTTGCTGAAAACTGTATTCAACTGAAAATTGCCTATTTTACTTTTAGTATACATTAGCCTATCTAAGAAAATAAAAATATGAGAAAAATGTATGTGTACTATATAAAATGTGTTTATCATATAAATATTATAAATACATGCTTTGTTCTTCATGTATAATTTTTAACCTATTTTTATTTTATCATTAGCCTAAATATTCATTCAGCATTCAGTGTTTTTCTAACAGTTTAGGAAATGAGGAAAAACAAATATTAAGCATGTTCTAGCTTATTCTGTAGCAACTGCTCCCTGCTCTGTGCATGCTAAACTTCTTATGCACATAGTAGTCACTTTGCTTTGTAAATGCAGAATTGCCAAATAAGTTAATCTTTGAATGTTAAAGAACATATTCTATTCTTTAGAATGTTACTTCCTATGCCAAATAATTCAAAAATAGTTATTCAAAATGAAAACACAGGGAAACATTTTATAATAACTTATTTATTCATTTTATTGTATGAAGCACAATAATATGTGTTAGTTATAAAATGATAATGCCTCACATCTGAGTGGTGCATTCTACTTTCACATGTAACATTTGATTTGATTTCTGTGTCTTTATATGGAAGATGGACCTCTAACAATGCCAATAGTGATTCATTTTTTTCCCTTTGCTGAACATGGCGTAGGATCAAAATAAAATCTGACATGAACAGAACATGTAATTCTGCAGAACATGGAGTTTGAAACAGATTTTTCCCCCATTGAAGACCAAATCTGCCACAGACTTCATGGCATATTGCCTAAAGGGTAGTGTTAGAAATGCTATGCATACTTAAAAATTGTGTCTGTGTTTTGCTGGCACTTATGTTCAAGTGTAGTTGTCTTATCACATTTAAAAAAACGGCAAAATTCCATTATAACAGATGGACAGAAGCAGGAAGTGCCAAGTCTCAGCGTGGCAGAATCATTTACAAAAGGCTTGAGTAGAAGGCCGAGAGAACAACAATGTTCTAAAATTCATCTATTCTCTATTAAAAATAAGGCATTGCTTCTCAGCTAAGGGTTTTTGCACTGACAATGATGAGTTAATCATACTTTTAACACTATGGCAGCTACAGGCAACAACAATAAAAAAATTTCATTGATTTGAAGAATCCAGGGATAGAATAAGATGCTTCAGAATGTAGAATGTTACAAAAGAGACTAGAAACAAATTGAAAGGGATGCTAAGGAAAGGATAAAACCATGAAAGATGTTGTTAGATATCCTGGCCTTTACAGGCTTATTCAATCCTGTTATTCAAAAAGTCTATATTATTTATTTCCTTCTGTGCAATTTTATAGATGCAGTATAGAGCAAAATGATATCTACATGGATATCTTAAATGATTTGGTATTCTAAAGATGCAAATGGTGATTTCAATTAGACTTAGGCTTTTATTCAAAAGATTTTCATAATAGAGGTAGGTCGACCTCGTGGGGAGGGATTTTTTTTAAATGTATAATCAATGCGTAAGAAATAAAAGTCACACATTAAGTTGGGTTAATTCAATGGGGTAGTAGTATTTTTGACTAAACTGTAAACACAATTTGATTAAGAATAATAAATCTAGTCTTTTAGAATCCTAGATGTATTACTTTTCTGTTGCTTTTACTATAGTTATAAATTACCACAAACTGGCTTAAAACAACAAAAATTCATGATTTTACAGTTCTATGGGTTAGAAGTTGCACATAGATCTCACCGAGCTAAAATCAACACGTTCTCAGAGCTGCATTCTTTCCTGAAGGTTCTAGGGAAGAATCTGTTTTCTTGATTTTTCTGTCTTCTAGAGCGTACCTGCATTCGTGGTCTCCTTCCTCCGTCTTCAAAGCCAGCAACTTTGCATCTTTCTGATTATTCCCATACAGTCACGGCTTTCTCTGACTCTCCTCTTCGGCCTCCCTTTTCCATTTTTAAATCCTCTGCGGTTATGTAGAGCCCTCCTAATGTAGAAAAATCTCCTTAATTAAGATCAGCTTATTTGCAACCTTAATTCCATATTCACCATAAAATTTATCATATTTACATATTTACATGTTCTCTGACTCTCCTCTTCTGCCTCTCTTTTCCATTTTGAAATACTCTGCGATTATATCGAGCCCTCCTAATGTAGAAAAATCTCCTTAAGATCGGCTTATTTGCAACCTTAATTCCATCTTCACCATAAAATTTATCATATTTACATGTTCCAAGGATTAGGGTGTGAACATCTTTTTTGGGGAGTGAGTAGAAGCATTACTGTCCCTATCACAACATGCCCTCTCGACTCCAAAGGTTCATGTCCATGTCACATGTAAAATATATTCATCTTCACTAAGGTCTCCAAAAAGTCTTTACTCACTAGAGTATAAACTCAAAGTCCAAACACTAGTCTTTATTCTCATCAGTTAAAATGTCCTGAATTTCATTATGTAAATCATCTAAATTGGGTTTGGGTGAGGTTTTGGATAGAATTCATCCTAGAGCAAAATTCTTTTTTACTTATAAATCTGAAAAACTAGAAAACAAGCTATCTGCTCCTAAAATACAATGGTGAGAAACGAATAGGATAGATGTTCCCTATCAGAACCTGAGAAAATGGAAGGAAAAAGGAATGACTAGGTTCAAGAATTATAGAAATCTAGCTGGGCAAACCCCATTTGGTTTCAAGGCCTGGGGATGATGTGGTGCTGCTCTGCCCTTGGGGATCCATGACTCCACTCTGTGGGCCATTTTTTTTTCTTTTTCCTGAAAGGTATCCCATGTTTGCAGCTGAATAGTATTACCAGACTTTCCTGCCTTTACACTTTTGAGAGTGTAACAACCTTTCCTCATTTTATATTCTTTCAGTCCATTCAGGTTCATAATGACAGCATTTGTGCTGGCATACAATTCTCAAGAATTTTGTGGCTCTCCTGAGTGTCAGGGGAATTTACTCCATTAGACAAGATGGATCTTTCTTAGATAACCCCATGGCTACTTGTGGCTTCGGCTGAGATGATTTAGAGGATCAATGAATCACACACTTA
Organism: Homo sapiens; assembly: GCF_000001405.40. Lineage (NCBI taxonomy): Eukaryota > Metazoa > Chordata > Mammalia > Primates > Hominidae > Homo > Homo sapiens. The sequence goes on along the minus strand of NC_000002.12, from coordinate 194,484,305 downwards.
ATTTCTTCAAATTGCCTTTTCTGTGACTACATATTTTGAACTTTTGATCTTTCTGAGGAATTAAGACCCAGTGCTCAGGGATTTTATTAAGAACAAGTCACTTAGGCATTCTGTGCCTAGCATGTACCAAAATTCCAGATTCCCAGAAGGAAAGCAAGTGTTGAGAAGAAACCACATTGTTTGCACAGTTTAGGGACAATTAGCCACTCTTTATCATTTGGAGTGGTGAGAGCCTTCCTGAAATCCAAATTTCCAAATGCCTACCAAAGGCCAATCTTGGAATCAGGCCTATCAAAAGATAGCAGTCAGGCCAGCTGTGTTCATCTCTTCCTCACAACTTCTAAACTAGGGGCAGTTGCCTGGCCTGAATCTCACAGTCTGTGCTGTGATGAGTCCTAAATGGGATCCTTTCATCCCGTGGGGCTGATTACAGCCCAGTATCCTACATAAGATCTTTTGGGTCCCAGTACAGGCAGTTACAGGGCTTTGTCTGGCAGGCCTCATGAGAGTAGGCTGTCCTCTCACACAAGACTTTGTGAACAATCAATACATTCCAGTTTTCTGGAGAGAGTCAAAGTCATGTACTCAACTGTGAGCCCCTTTTCCTCAAGTCAACCATGCTCATGTGCATCGCTGCATTCGAACCCCAGTGCCTCTATTCAGAAGCCTCCTTATCAGTAGGAGCCTTGGCTGAGGAAATTCCTGAACACTGTTGATATTTCATTATTGGAGGCTTTGACTGAGGCACTTTTCTCAACTTTGACTCAGAACTTTTTCTCTCCTATCTTTGCCTTCTCTTCCCACATCTAAGCCCAGCACTTCAAAAATAGGCCAAGAACCCTTTTTTTTTCAGGGCTCTTTGATAATGAGGTGATTCTCCTTGTCTGTTCTGTATCCACTTAACTCACTATAAGTGCTATTTCGTGGGAAAAATGGAATATTAGCAAGCTAGTGCCTATATATTGCTCTTATTTTCAACCTAACAGTATGTGAATAAAGGTTTGATTGCTCCTTTCATTTGACATGTGTTCTAATTGACCATCTCAACTATTGATTGCACAATAGGTTGTTCCATCACATCCTGAGTGTTTATTTCCTAAGAGTAAATCCAATTTTTGTCTTTTGTCATCTGGGAAGGCTGAGAATTTACCAAATCATCAAGTTTTGCTTTCTTTTTGTTTAACAGTTCTTCTGTTTATCTTCTTCCTCCATCATTTTATTATGAGCAGTAAGAAGAAACCAGGCTGTACCTTTCACACTTTTCTTGACATCTTTTCAGTTAAAAGTCATTTTTCCTCATAGGCAAGTCCTGCTTTTCATATAACTGTGGTAAATAATTCTACTAAGCTTTCTATCGGTACATAACAATGATCCCTTCTACTCAAATTTCCACAAACATGTTTTGCATTTCCTTCTGAACCTTCACCAGCAGTTCCCTTAATGTCCATATTTCTACAGTCAGTTAATTTTTAAGCATTATCTAAAGCAGTATATGTTTGCTCTGCCATGACACTCATTTTCTTCTATATCTTCCCTAGCAGAGTTTTTAATATCCATGTTACTACTAAAAATTTGCTCAAAGCAGTTTAGGCTTTTACTATCATGCTCCTCAAACTTCTTCCAGCTTCTTTCCACTGCCGAATTCTAATGCCACGTCCATACTTTTTAGGTATTTATTATAATTCCATTCCACTTCCAGGTACCAAAATCTGTAGTAGTTTCCTCTAGCTGTTATAGCAAATTGCCACAAACTTAGTGGCTTAGGACAACATAAATTTAATATTTCACAGTTCTGTAGGTCAGAAGTCTGATGTGGTTCTCCAGGAACAAATTCAAGGTCTTAGAAAAGCTGTATTCCCTTTTGAAGGTTTTTTTTGTCTTGTCCATTTTCTATAGTCTACCTGCATTCTGCATTCACTGGGTTATGAGCCTCTTTCTCCATCTTCAAAGCCAGAAAATATCTAATTTCTGTGACCATGGTCAAATATTCTTGTTTCTCTTCTTCTGCCTCCCACTTAACAGTTTAAGGAAATCTGTGATTATATTGGGCTTCCCTAGATAATCCGGAATAATCTCGCTATGATTTATGATTAGTTGATTAGCAACCTTCATTTCATTTGCAACCTTAAATCTCCCCTTTCATTTGAAATAATGATTGTCCTAGAGGAAAGAAATGTCAAAATATAAGACACCTTCAGATTCAATCTTGCTTATTATTCTAACTACATTTGGAGGAGAAATGATCCCTTTTAATCTCTTTCCAGGGCCAAATTTGCTGTAAAACTTAAAGTGCCTATATTATAATATAATTACACTATTTCTTTCTGGATTTATCATACATTATTTACAGACATTGAAGCATTTTTTGAAAAGTATTGTGAACATTAACAAATTAATATATTTGTTGTCATTCCTCTGAGATTAGTGAAAAGAGAATCATGTACAGAGGAGTTAGAGGATGTCCAAAATCCCAGAGTGACACTGTAGTGTAAAAAGTTCATAGTCAGTTCAAAACTTTGTCTATTATTGGACCTCCATTCCTTGCCTTATTAAAAAGTATAATTAATTATATAACCAAATATTATAATAAGACACACAAAAATCTTTAATAGTTATGAAATGAGTTCAGGAATTGTAAGGAAAGTAATTGGTTTTCTTCAAAACTTACTTTCAAGCATCATAGTACTAAAACATAATAACAGAGACTGAACTTTGTTTGAACTCTGCAGAATAACATTTTTTATCATTGTTAATATGTTTTACTTACATTAACAGGTCTCTATGAGTTCCCTCTTGTGGTTAATCTAAAACATAAAAAAGCCCGTTTTCTTCATTTACCTATGATGGCACTGCTTTAGGGAGATAAGGCACCATAACTGCCAGCGGTGTGAGAGATTTGTATTTCAAATTCTTGTCTGGAACAGTTTCTTAAATCTGTTGATGATTAAAATACATATTTTATACCACCATTATAGGAAGGAGTATATTTTCAGCAATTATTTTTCCTAGTTATTTCCAAACATGTCAGAATAATTGTTAACCAATTTATAACTCAAATGTTTTCTTATGAAATAGTAAAATGTTTTCTCTGTATATACAAATATAGAATTGTATAAGGTATTTTTTGTCTCAATAGGAAAATGCTGTTATAACCCTTTCGTCATCCATAAATATATTGGGACTTAGATAGCCTATTTGTTATGCTTTGGACTTGTGCTCTGGTGTGTCCTTACCCTACAAACAGTTTTTCATCTACCTTTGATATTGGATGGTAGTTATTAAGGTGCATGTATAGTTTATCTACTCTATTAAATTATAGTTATCTTGAAAAAATAAGATGCATGTCTGATTTAACTGTATATATCATCCAACTCTTGGTCCACTGCCCTGAAATATGTTCATTAATTAACATAAAATGAAATTATACATTCTCATAAACATGAAATTTTGTTGAATGCACAGTATACATAGTTAATTATGAATAATGCAAACATGTAATTTTTATTAAAAAGGCATTGTCTATACTTATAAAATAATTTGATAAGATATTTGTTTATATTTTGTGCACATTTAAATCTGATGATTTGGTATTATATGCAATTATAGAAGTCTATGTTATGAACTCCATAATAAGTCAGTAATCTGTTAAATTATCCACACTGGACTAAATACTAGTCTTTCTTATTACAAAAACTGACTATTGGTCATGACACATAAGATCTGCAAATACTTAGGATGTTAACAAAGGCTTTGTTGATTACACATTAGTGTAGATTATTGACGATTTAAAAAAATACAGTAAAAGCACTGGATTCTTCTGACAATTATATTATGTTGTACACAAATAATAGGTAGAAAATTATATACTGAGGAATTTCCACATGTTGAATTAGCTTCACATACTTGGAAAAGGAAAAATTATAATATACACACATTCACACTCACACACCACATAATTCCTGTAATTGTACAAAGGACTAGAAAAGAATGAATATTTATATACTATACTTATACATGAGAGACTATGCGTAAGAGGAAGCCTTCCTCAAAATAAACAAGCAAACAAAGGTAAAACAACTGTGTTTTTTTTTTTTCTACCAAAAGGCATATATCTATAAGATGGCCTTTTGTTAACCAGGACAGTTTAAGGAGATTGTAGATAGGCATGGAGACTAAACCTCTTTATACACAAAATAATAATGTTTTAGGATTTTGGATTCTAGCAGCTATAGTGAAAAAAAGAAGAGTGCTCTTTAGAATATACTGTCCATGTTCTACATTGTATAACCTCCCTGTATTTTCCCGTATATAGTAGCCTTTTGTTGGTAATACTTTGGGGAAGTGAAGGAATAGGGATGGCATTCAGCCTATAGAAAAACGATTGGGGGAAAAAGTCTTAAGAATCATAGGAGCATGCTGAACTTTGAGCAATTTTGCTTAAAAAGGAAAGGAACTTGTGACTATAAAAGGCTGAGGACCAAAAGACACTCAGGAAACTCTCTTGTGGGTTTTACTTTATTAATCTTACTTAAAATCTTCTATGAGCCTAAGGAAAATCAATATAATTAATCTATTTTCAAGCTCTTCTGCTTTTTTCTTGCCTTGCTAGCCAATATTTTACTCTGCAATTATTAGCTATTCTTTCTTCATTCTCTACCAAAATATGTGTTTGTCTTATTATAAAGTATGTGTTGCACTTTGGGAGGCTAAGACAGGTGGATTGCTTGAGCAAAGGAAGTCAAGACCAGCCTGGGCAACATGTCAAAAACTCTCTATACAAAAAATATAAAACAAAAATTAGCCAAGCATGGTGGTGTGTGCCTGTGGTCCCAGCTACACTGGAGGCTGAAGTGGAAGGATCACTTGAGCCCAGGAGGCAGAAGTTGCAGTGATCTGAGATTGTGCCACTGTACTCTAGCCTAGTTGACAATGAGACCATGTCTCAGATAAATAAATAAGTAAATAAACAAATAGTGTGTCGATAATATTTAAATATTTTATTGAATTATAAACATATTGTCACATATAGTAATTTTTCATTTTTATACTTGTTTCTGTGCATTTGTCTACACTTTTAATGGACAATAATCAAGTTGTGTTGATTTCAAAAATATCTTTGTCTGTTTTATTCAATATACAGTTATTTTTAATGATAGTTGAATTAATGTTATCTCCAGACTTATTAGTTTTTATGGTTTGACTGTGTCTCCACCCAAAGCTCATCTTGAATTGTAGTTCCCATAATCCCCGTATGTGGTGGAAGGGACCCAGTGGGAGGTAATTGAATCATAGGGATGGTTTCCCCCATGCTATCCTCGTGATAGTAAGTCCTCACAGGATCTGAGGGCTTCTACCTTTGCTTGGTCCTCATTCTTCTCTTTCCTGCTGCCATGTGATGAAGGGCATGTTTGCTTCAGCTTCCACCATGATTGTAAGTTTCCTGAGGCCTCCCAGCAATGCTAAATTGCGAGTCAATTCAACCTTATTTTTTATAAATTACCCAGTCTCAGGTATGTCTTTATTAGCAGGGTGAGAACAGACTAATACATTAGTAATGTAAATATCATAGACAATTTGAAAGACTAAAGTGTGTCTTAGAAAAATCATATACCAAAGTAAGATTAAAGCTTTTCAATAACAAGTTTGATGAAGATAAAAGATAAAAATAAATTTTTTTCATTTGTAAAAGAAAATATGACTTAAAGCCAAAATAATAATGGAAATATTTTAGCAAAATTCATGGTCACTTTATGATTTATACATATATCATCCATTGTAGCAATAAAATAATATTTGTGGTCACACAGCCATCTCATCTTCATAAGATTCAATAATGTATAAGGACCTTCTCAGGAATTCTCTTTAAGGAATTAGAATGATTATATGTATTTAAAAACTTAGCCTGCACTAAGTTTAAAAATTGAAAAACTGAACTATACTTTAAATCAGGAAAATGAAAAAATACATTTTAGTATCTTTATATACCTCAGAATACAATAAAGTAAATGAAATTCTCAGAAGCTAAAAATCCTTAGAAAGCACAAATTTATAGACGTAAAGAGGGACTGAAAGTCATTAGTTGCCATAGGGATACCTGATCATCAATAGTGACCCACAATTTCAGTTTTACCTAGACCAAGATAGAAAATTGTGTTAGAGATTGGTAGATGCCTATCAATTCTGTTTTTCTTTGTAGGGCAAACAAATAATACATATCTCAGCTTGCACTGCAATAAAGTTCGTTGAAGAAAATTTAAAAAATGATGATAAAGACAAAAGGTTTATCTGCTAATTGGATTTTCAGTGGGAGATTTTATAAAAAATTGAGATACAGACAGGATGAGAAAAGATATTTCCAGTACTTATATGAAATGTGAATTACAAATTTTGCACAGCCAAATGAATCTTGACAGTGTAAGTTTTTAAAATATGTGCCTAGATACATTATAAAGCACCAGAAAGAATAAAACTGATTACATAAAAGAAACATCAAATAGATTTTTACCCTCTCAATAGCTACCATGAAAGCTCTAAGACTGTGAAATAATACAATCAGAATGTCATAAGAATTATCTAAAACTCTGGAAATGTAGGCCCAATAAAATGGATTTCAAGTGTTAGATAGAATTAAAATATTTTCAGAAAAAAAACCTGAGACTATTTAAAAATTATTTTTGCTAAAAACGTTATATTTTATACTTAAGGAAAGAGAAACATAAAGAAGAAATTACAAAATGTGAGAAGAAATGAACAAAGAAAATAATATGAATTGGTTTGAATTAGATTTAGTAAATTAAGTAAGATAGTAGCATATAGCTTAACAAATTCAGCATACTCATTGAGATGAGAAAAGATAGCTGGATTTAGAGCATACTAAGGTATACTTGACCTTTGAACAACTCACGGGTTAGGGAAGCCCAACTACTACAATGTCAAAAATCCAGGTATAACTTTTGATTCCGCAAAAACTTAACTAATAATAACCTACTGTTGACAAGAGCATTACTGATGACATAAACAGTCAATTAACAGACATTTTGTATGTCATATGAATTACATACTGTATTCTTACAACAAAGTAAGCTAGAGAAAATAAAATGTTATTAAAATCATAGGAAAAACAGTAGATATTTACTATTTATTAATTAGAAATTGTTCATCATAAAGGTTTTCCTCCTTACCACCTTTGCATAGTCTGAGAAGGTGGAGAAGGAAGAGAAGGGGTTCGTCTTATTTTTTCAAGGTGGGAGAGATAGAAGTAAATACATGTATAAGCGGACCAGCGAAGTGTTGTTCAGGGTCAACTGAAATTATAATATTTAAAACAGTTATAAAGATATTTGATTTCAAGGAATTTATTTTGGTATATATGTTAAATCTGGAATGAAAAATGAAAAAAACTTTTTCAATTATAGCACAAAAAAATAAGTGAGAAAATCATGTGCTCAATCAATAAGCCTAGAAAATCAAGACTAATAACACAAAATTAAATGTATAAACATATCCCCAAATATTCCAATAATCACGGTGAATATTAAAATCTAAATCTCTCCAATGAAAGACACACATTTTCAAACTAACAAAATTCAGTTGTAAGCTACTTATAAGATAATCCTCTAAAAAGACAAATACTCAATTTTATTATAAGTAATCCAGACATTTTACCATAATACCAATATCAAAAAACCAATGTATCATTATATAAAAACAGAGGAAATATTTTAAACATACATTTATAGTACCATAAAAATATGCAGTACTTAAAAATAATTTTGTAGAAAACTGTTAAATCCAAAATAAATAGCTAGAGCCCCAAAATCCAGTATATATTAATGAGAAGATTCATATTATAAATGTCCCCCATTAATCTCTACGTTCAATCGATTACAATAAAAAATTTAATTAATTTTATTTTTTCATATAACTTCTCATTCAAATTTTAAAATGCATATGGAAAATCAAACTTCCTCAATTTCAGAGCCTGTTATTGGTCTATTCAGAGATTCAACTTCTTCCTGGTTTAGTCTTGGGAGAGTGTATGTGTCGAGGAATTTATCCATTTCTTCTAGATTTTCTGGTTTATTTGCGTAGAGGTATTTATAGTATTCTCTGATGGTAGTTTGTATTTCTGTGGGATCAGTGGTGATATCCCCTTTGTCATTTTTTTATTGCGTCTAGTTGATTCTTCTCTCTTTTCTTCTTTATTAGTCTTGCTAGCGGTCTATCAATTTTGTTGATCTTTTCAAAAAAATCAGCTTCTGGTTTCATTGATTTTTTGAAGGGTTTCTTGTGTCTCTATCTCCTTCAGTTCTGCTCTGATCTCAGTTATTTCTTGCCTTCTGCTAGCTTTTGAATGTGTTTGCTCTTGCTTCTCTAGTTCTTTTAATTGTGATGTCAGGGTATCAATTTGAGATCTTTCCTGCTTTCTCTTGTGGGCACTTAGTGCTATAAATTTGCCTCTACACACTACTTTGAATGTGTCCCAGAGATTCTGGTATGTTGTGTCTTTGTTCTCGTTGTTTTTCAAAGAACATCTTTATTTCTGTCTTCATTTCATTATGTACCCAGTAGTCATTCAGGAGCAGGTTGTTAGAGTAACCAAGGTACCTCTGGTGAAAACATATAAATATTAAAAATTACAAAAGAGATGGAGGGCCTGGTCTGGGTGACTTTACTTTTTTTTATTCTATTTTATTTTTTTAATTATACTTTAAGGTTTAGGGTACATGTGCACAATGTGCAGGTTTGTTACATATGTATACATGTGCCATGTTGGTGTGCTACATCCATTAACTCATCATTTAGCATTAGGTGTATCTCCTAATGCTATCCATCCCCACTCCCCCCACCCCACAACAGGCCCCGGTGTGTGATGTTCCCCTTCCTGTGTCCATGTGTTCTCATTGTTCAGTTCCCACCTATGAGTGAGAACATGCGGTGTTTGGTTTTTTGTCCTTGCAATAGTTTGCTGAGAATGATGGTTTCCAGCTTCATCCATGTCCCTACAAAGGACATGAACTCATCATTTTTTATGGCTGCATAGTATTCCATGGTGTATATGTGCCACATTTTCTTAATCCAGTCTATCATTGTTGGACATCTGGGTTGGTTCCAAGTCTTTGCTATTGTGAATAGAGCCGCAATAAACATACGTGTGCATGTGTCTTTATAGCAGCATGATTTATAATCCTTTGGGTACATACCCAGTATATGGGTCATATATGGCTGTGTCAAATGGTAATTGTAGATCTAGATCCCTGAGGAATCACCATACTGACTTCCACAATGGTTGAACTAGTTTACAGTCCCACCAACAGTGTAAAAATGTTCCTATTTCTCCACATCCTCTCCAGCACCTGTTGTTTCCTGACTTTTTAATGATCACCATTCTAACTGGTGTGAGATGGTATCTCATTGTGGTTTTGATTTGCATTTCTCTGATGGCCAGTGATGATGAGCATTTTTTCACGTGTCTGTTGGCTGCATAAATGTCTTCTTTTGAGAAGTGTCTGTTCATATCCTTTGCCCATTTGTTGATGGGGTTGTTTGTTTTTTTCTTGTAAATTTGTTTGAGTTCATTGTAGATTCTGGATATTAGCCCTTTGTCTGATGAGTAGATTGCAAAAATTTTCTCCCATTCTGTAGGTTGCCTGTTCACTCTGATGGTAGTTTCTTTTGCTGTGCAGAAGCTCTTTAGTTTAATTAGAACCCATTTGTCAATTTTGGCTTTTGTTGCCATTGCTTTTGGTGTTTTAGACATGAAGTTCTTGCTCATGCCTATGTCCTGAATGGTATTGCCTAGGTTTTCTTCTAGGGTTTTTATGGTTTTAGGTCTAACATTTAAGTCTTTAATCCATCTTGAATTAATTTTTGTATAAGGTGTAAGGAAGGGATCCAGTTTCAGCTTTCTACATATGGCTAGCCAGTTTTCCCAGCACCATTTGTTGAATAGAGAACCCTTTCCCCATTTCTTGTTTTTGTCACGTTTGTCAAAGATCAGATGGTTGTAGATATGCAGCATTATTTCTGAGGGCTCTGTTCTGTTCCATTGGTCAATATTTCTGTTTTGGTACTAGTACCATGCTGTTTTGGTTACTGTAGCCTTGTAGTATAATTTGAAGTCAGGTAGCGTGATGCCTCCAGCTTTGTTCTTTTGGCTTAGGATTGACTTGGCAATGTGGGCTCTCTTTTGGTTCCATATGAACTTTAAAGTATTTTTTTTCCAATTCTTTGAAGAAAGTCATTGGTAGCTTGATGGGGATGGCATTGAATCTATAAATTACCTTGGGCAGTATGGCCATTTTCACGATATTGATTCTTCCTACCCATGAGCATGGAATGTTCTTCCATTTGTTTGTATCCTCTTTTATTTCATTGAGCAGTGGTTTGTAGTTCTCCTTGAAGAGGTCCTTCACATCCCTTGTAAGTTGGATTCCTAGGTATTTTATTCTCTTTGAAGCAATTGTGAATGGGAGTTCAGTCATGATTTGGCTCTCTGTTTGTCTGTTATTGGTGTATAAGAATGCTTGTGATTTTTGTACATTGATTTTGTATCCTGAGACTTTGCTGAAGTTGCTTATCAGCTTAAGGAGATTTTGGGCTGAGACGATGGGGTTTTCTAGAGATACAATCATGTCATCTGCAAACAGGGACAATTTGACTTCCTCTTTTCCTAACTGAATACCCTTTACTTCCTTCTCCTGCCTAGTTGCCCTGGCCAGAACTTCCAACACTATGTTGAATAGGAGTGGTGAGAGAGGGCATCCCTGTCTTGTGCCAGTTTTAAAGGGAATGCTTCCAGTTTTTGTCCATTCAGTATGATACTGGCTGTGGGTTTGTCATAGATAGCTCTTATTATTTTGAGATACGTCCCATCAATAGCTAATTTATTGAGATTTTTTAGCATGAAGGGTTGTTGAATTTTGTCAAAGGCCTTTTCTGCATCTATTGAGATAATCATGTGGTTTTTGTCATTGGTTCTGTTTATATGCTGGATTACGTTTATTGATTTGTGTATGTTGAACCAGCCTTGCATCCCAGGGATGAAGCCCACTTGATCATGGTGGATAAGCTTTTTGATGTGCTGCTGGATTCGGTTTGCCAGTATTTTATTGAGGATTGTTGCATCGATGTTCATCAGGGATATTGGTCTAAAATTCTCTACCAAGCAAATGGAAAACAAAAAAAGGCAGAGGTTGCAATCCTAGTCTCTGATAAAACAGACTTTAAATCAACAAAGATCAAAAGAGACAAAGAGGGCCATTGCATAATGGTAAAGGGATCAATTCAACAGGAAGAGCTAACTATCCTAAATATATATGCACCCAATACAGGAGCACCCAGATGCATAAAGCAAGTCCTTAGAGACCTACAAAGAGACTTAGACTCCCACACAATAATAATGGGAGACTTTAACACCCCACTGTCAACATTAGTCAGATCAACGAGACAGAAAGTTAACAAGGATATCCAGGAATTGAACTCAGCTCTGCACCAAGCAGATCTAATAGACATCTACAGAACTCTCCACCCCAAATCAACAGAATATACATTCTTTTCAGCACCACACCACACCTATTCCAAAACTGACCACATAGTTGGAAGTAAAACACACCTCAGCAAATGTAAAAAAACAGAAATTATAGCAAACTGTCTCTCAGACCACAGTGCAATCAAACTAGAACTCAGGATTAAGAAACTCACTCAAAAGCACTCAACTACATGGAAACTGAACAACCTGCTCCTGAATGACTACTGGGTACATAACGAAATGAAGACAGAAATAAAGATGTTCTTTGAAACCAACAAGAACAAAGACACAACATACCAGAATCTCTGAGACACATTCAAAGTAGTGTGTAGAGGCAGATTTATAGCACTAAATACCCACAAGAGAAAGCAGGAAAGATCTCAAATTGACACCGTAACATCACAATTAAAAGAACTAGAGAAGCAAGAGCAAACACATTCAAAAGCTAGCAGAAGGCAAGAAATAACTAAGATCAGAGCAGAACTGAAGGAAATAGACACACAAAAAACCCTTCAAAAAATCAATGAAACCAGGAGCTGGTTTTTTGAAAAGATCAACAAAATTGATAGACCACTAGCAAGACTAATAAGAAAAGAGAAGAATCAAATAGACACAATAAAAAATGATAAAGGGGATATCACTACCGATCCCACAGAAATACAAACTGCCATCAGAGAATACTATAAACACCTCTATGCAAATAAACTAGAAAATCTAGAAGAAATGGATAAATTGCTGGACACATACACTCTCCCAAGACTAAACAAGGAAGAAGTTGAATCTCTGAATAGACCAATAACAGGCTCTGAAATTGAGGCAATAATTAATAGCTTACCAACCAAAAAAAGTCCAGGGTCAGATGGATTCACAGCCGAATTTTACTAGAGGTACAAGGAGGAGCTGGTACGATTCCTTCTGAAACTATTCCAATCAGAGAAGGGAATCCTCCCTAACTCATTTTATGAGGCCAGCATCATCCTGATACCAAAGCCTGGCAGAGACACAACAAAAAAAGAGAATTTTAGACCAATATCCCTGGGTGATTTTAATATGGGCTTTGCAAGATAGGACATGGTGAGGCTCAGTTGGTTAAAATATAATGGCTTTGAATGGTGGGCAAAGCAAGGTGAGGGTTTCAAGTGAGTCTTATGATTAAGCTGTTAGTCCTTATAATTTAACTCTCTAGTTATTGGCCAGTCTTATCTTCCAAGAGCAGTTATTTGCTAGTGTAAACAGCTAAGTTATATTTATGTGGCCCTGGTAGGGTTTAGCACAAAACAAGTCAGATATATCATAACAGTATTTTTTAGCATAAAGGCAGAAATGTATGTTTCTTTTTTTGTTTTGTTTTTGAGACGGAGTCTCACTCTGTCACCCAGGCTGGAGTGTAGTGGCGCCACCTCGGCTCACGGCAATCTCTGCCTCCTGGGTTCACGCCATTCTCCTGCCTCAGCCTCCCGAGTAGCTGGGACTACAGGTGTCCGCCACCACGCCCAGCTAATTTTTTTTAATTTTAGTAGAGACGGGGTTTCACCTTGTTAGCCAGGATGGTCTCGATCTCCTGTCCTCGTGATCTGCCTGCCACACTTTTGAATATTGATTCACAGAGGTACAGGAGATTATTTAAATGTTGATTCTCATTTGCTAATAAAATAACTGTATATATTACATAAATGATACAATTATTTGTTACATCATAATATAATACATAATAAAATATATTACATAATGCATTCTATAAAAATATTATAATACATAATCTAATAAATAATTATATTTTAATAGTTAATAATTGTAATATATAGTATAGTATACATGTGTACATATTATATATTTCTATATATGTATGCTTACATATATTATTTAAATTATAAAAAGTCCTCCAAAGTGATAGGAAATTTGTTCTAATTATCCCATTGTTTTCTGAATCCAATTATGTTTGTAAAGCTGTTTCAAAATAATAGTTGCTCTAATGTTAATAAACATCTTAGCAACATTAAGATTAGTCTTTTATTAGCACAATATATCTATGCTTAGTCTGTCCTTAGTACAAATGTCTGTCACTTGAATCACCTGTTCCAAATAGACATGTTTATTGATTATTGCTGTCTTCGTGTTTTCATCACCAACGTTTACTGGCTCATAGAATGGACTGTCAAATGAGCGTGCTTATCTCCTGCCAAATTTTTTTCTTAAACTTTTTTTTCCTAAAACCCAACATTAATATCACCAAGGTAATACCTGGGGTAGCGAAAATACCAACTAATTTCTAGACATATACAGAACAAAATTAAAGTTTAAGGTACTGTCGGAAAATGTTTTGTTCTTTTTGTTATTTCTACTAATTACTAGTTAGTCAGGTAAAAAAAAAATTTAAAGTGCAGTCTAATATTTTAGCCACAAGAAAATTATATTGAATAATTAAGCTATTTGTATGGTTTTCGCCAATTTATATGTTACCAAATGATAAAAATATCTGCTAAAGATTGCAACAGGGCCAACTTTTAGAAAATGCATCCTTATATTTTAAATGAATCCATTATTATGAAGCATACCATGTGAGAAGCCCAGAAGTATCATTTTTATACTTATTTCTCAGAAATATGAAGTAGTATTTTTTTTTTCAGAGAAGGCAGGAACAATTGAGGAAAGAAGCTGTCATCACTGACTGCAAACTGGTGGAACAGATTATAAGGGCCCTTCCAAGTCTCTTGACAGTATAGGATATCTTTTCAAGGAGACATTATTTTCGTGAACAGCGATGGTCATCACATTTGCAGAGAGGGGAATAGTCAGACTATGCCTTAGGGTTGATTCCCGGACAATCTACTAAACTCCTTAAAATCCAAGATAAATGTATTTTACCCAACATTAAGCACCTATATACAAATGAAAGCAGAATAAAATAAAAGGGAGAAAAACAACACAAAACCATTTACTGAGGCCTATGTGTGGAAGGGGAGGATGAATCTCATCTCCTTGCTTTGACTATTTTTTATAAAAAGAATATTGCATATAATGTTGACAATGGTTGGATATATGATAGGTCTCAGAATTCTTAAGGTTCTGTTTTTCACTAATTATCTCCTTGTACTATCACCCCAGCTCACTTCTTTGTTACTAATTCCAACGATGAAAGCAGTAGAGTAAAAATGGAGGAGGGTCAGAATTGCTGTGAGAGTTTATCTCTTATCTGCATGTGTCACTATGAATTCACCATAATATATCCATGAGGAGGCAACACAGAAAAGCTGCCATTATTTTTTTCTTCCCTTCTCCTCCCATTTTCTTTCCCTCCCTCCCTCCCTCCGTCTCTCCCTCTCTCTCTTTCTTTCTTCTTTTCTTTCTTCTTTTTGTCTTCCCTTTTTTCTTCTATTGTTATGAAGTACCTTCTGTGTATCAGATCCTGTGTTTGGCATTAGTGATAAAGTACTGAAACAAAGAGATCTTCTGGTACCAGCCATCACCAGGCTTATACTTTAGTGCAAAAACCACCACACAGTTGTTCCAGAGCACTAGAATTACAAATGTGTAACTAACATAAAATATAATTGCATGCGATGGGGTCACGCTATGGTTAATTAACATAGCAAAAAAGGCTCATGGAAGTTCGAGAGTGAAAAGTGGTCCCAAGGAGGCTATAGGGTCAGAGTTCTCATCTCTGGTGAGTAATCATAGCAATTGTCTGGATAGGCTCCATACCTAGACATCCTATTTCAATGTTCTGGGGTGATGCCTTGATATCAAGAGTTTTTAAAAGCACCCTGGTGATTCTTCTTTGCAAACACTGAAAGCCACTAGTGTAGATTTCAGTATGGTTCAGAAGATGCAGGATTTGGAGGTTTTCCTAGAAATTTGAAATTTAACCTCAGGAAAGGAAAAGTCAGAATAAGAAAACAGTAGTCTAGAGTAGCATGATGGCAGAGGACAAAAAGAGAAGTAGAGGTAGTATATAGAAGTAGAAGTAAAGTATAGATAATGTAAAGTAAAGGAAGCCAGAGAAAAAAACTTGGGGGAAAGGCACATTACCCTCATGTAGCAATTATTAAGGATTTTGAATTAAAAATAATGTAAAAGCTTATTACATTACCAATTTTGTCCTGACTTAGAAATTTTTTTCACTTGGCTTATCTAAATTGACTATTTCTAAAACAGCATATCCAAATAATTTATTGGAAAATTAAAGGGGTACTTCTAGGAAAGCTTTTTGTGATCTACTCTCGAAACTAATTTAAGAAAGAATGATTATTCGTGGCTTCCCAGGGACACTAAAAAAATACAACTAAAAAGAAGAAAAAAATGATGGAAATTTGTTACCTAAGACAGTTAATAAAAATGAAATGGGCTATACATTCAAATCAAACAAAAATGTCAATAATTGTTTTAATAGACTTGATAAAAATTATTAATTATTTAATATCCTATTCACTCAGCATGTTCAAAATGTTTAAGCATTCATCAAATAACATTGAAATTAAATTAATAAAAATTCAAATCATTTTTATTTCCAGGTTATATTATTCTGTTGATTTTACCACTATCAGGTATATATTTACGTGTTTATTAAGTCATCAAATATTTATTGAGGACTTTCTGTATATCAGATACCACCCTAGCGATACAACAAACAAAAATAAAAAATAAAAAACTTGCACCCATGGAACTTATACTCTTGTCAGAAATGACTGATAATATACAAAAACAACGAGAAAATTTATATTTTGTTGGATGGTGACATATGTAACCAAAGAAAAGAAACTAGGAGAAGAAGTTAGGAAGTTGCCCAAGTCGAAGGAGTGCAGTTTGAAGTAGGATGAGCAGGAATGGCCTCCCTGAGAAGGTCAAATTTGATAACAGAGGCTGTCGTAACAGACTTTTAATGAGAATGGGATCTATGCTGTTAGCTGGAACAAGATATTTTTTAGCTTTGGATATGGGTTGAAGAGAAATAAGATGACTTTTTTCCTCCTCCAGCAACTAAAAGAATATTTTTTTTTATTAATAGAAAGACACTGGAGAAAAGCAAATGTCTGAGAGGAAATGTCAGATGTTTCATTTGAAAGATGCAAAATTTGAGATATATTAGTGGCTATATCAAGTAGAAAGTCGGATATGGAAGTCTCAATTTCAGAAGGAGGCCTAGATATGGGAGAAACTGAAAGAAAACCGAGGTTTTATATATTATATGCATCACAGAGACTATGTGTATATGTAAATTTGAATTCTAGATAAACATTGGATAATTTTTGTATAGTATGTTTCATGCAATATTTGAGACAACTGGACATGTAATAAAAATTAGCTGTTTCTCTTAAATTCAAATTTAACTAGGTATCCTGTATTTTATCTATCAACTCTACATTATATTCAGTATAAAACTATATTCTCTAATAGAAAAGAAAAAGGCTCTAGGAAGAGCCTGGGCACCCCAGTGTTTGGTTTGAGGAGATCAGAAGAAAATGCCAACGAAGGATGAGAGGCAGCAGCCAATCAGGTAAGATAGAAATACAAACAAATGAAAGGGCAGAAAATCTGGAGCAATAGCCTTAAATAAGTGATAGGGATAAAAGTCTAGTATAAAAGGAGTGGAACTGGCTTTATCCATGAGCATGGACAGCTTATGCACATAAACAATGCAGAATACATGACACAGATGCAGGTAGTTAAGGTGTGTGTGTGTGTGTGTGCGTGCGCATGTGCAAGCACACATGGGATAGGGTGAAGCTAGCTTTTTTCTTCTGATTGCTTCCATTTAATCAGTGAAATATACAGTAAGGCCATTAATGAGTTAAGGGATGTTGGAGATTTGAAATTTAAAGAAGTCACAAAAAAAAGTATGATATGTCTGAATTTGCATTTTTAAAGCAAAATTGCCCTTTTCATTTAACCACATTTTATAAACACCTTATTTTGATGATATTTTTAGTAAGTGTTAAACATATGTATGTATATTATATAGGAAAAAGTTTAATTTACCTAATATTTTTACTTACTGAAAAAATATAATGTAAGTTTTTAAAATAACAAGTACCAAATATTTAGATCTTGTCTTCTTCAACTCTTTACTCAGCCTTCCGGGACAATATAAATTGCCTTTTCTGTGATGTACTTTTAACCTTAAGTGTGCTCAGTAATGTGTATATAAATACACAAACATACATATATATGTATCATATATATGACATACATATATATCATATATATGACATGTATGATATATATGATATGATATATATGACAGATTTAAAAGCACTACTGATTTAAAACTAGGTCACGGTCATCCACAGGGACACCATACACTATGTCTTCTAAACCAGGACATTTTTGAATATAAAGAGACAATTTCATCAGGTGTGTCACAATAACACGGTTTTCTAAAAGTTTCAAGATGTGACACAGATTGCATATCAAACTTCACTGCTTAACATTTTCACTTTCTACTGTGGTCATGCTATACCATCCTCATCCTCTTTTTCATCTGGTACATTCTTATTAGTCGGATATCAAATTATACGACACCATCGCTGTAAAGTTCTACTTGATTCATGACCAAAACATTTGAGTTGTGTGTTTCTTTTATGTATTCATATAGGTTCCTGTGCTTTCCCCTTTAAAACTGATCACCTTTTTTTAATGTAGTCTACTGTTTACTTGTCCATGTAAGAATTTACAGAGTTGCATGCTTGAGAATTCTAGTGGGTCTGTTCCTCAGATTCAAGGAAAGGGATATTCAAAACTGACATTATACTCCACTTTTCTTAAGACTTTGTGAGCAGACAGCCTCTTCCCTCTGGATGGGGTTTTTGGAAAGGAATAGGGAGTGATGAGAGCAGGAGAAAAGGAAAAATTAAGAACAGCATGGTAGTGAAGGACTTGTGTGAAAATAAGAGGAAAATGTTTTACTAGCTGCGGTGAGTGTGGAATTTGGAAGACATGGCAAAACTAAATGGAAAAATTGATGTAATTTTGCTCTGTAATGATCATTCCTTTCTGCAAATGCATATTCCATGTTTTTAACAAACTGACAGCACGAATCTAGATTATTTGTCATGTCTTTCGAAGTCCAACTGATATGCACACACACACACACACATACACACACACACACACACAGAAAGAGAGACACATATCATCTCCTAATTCGATGTTATTACATCATCCTCAGATAGGACCTTAATGTTATTTTAGCTTTGTTCTAATGTCTAAGGATTTGGCATTATGGCCAAAGAAGTTTAAATTTTGGGACCGAAGATAAAGTAGCTGCTCTCAGAATAACACCATAGTCCCATAGTCTGCCGTAGTCTGTTTTTGTTTGTTTGTTTGGCAGACTGTTGCTTTGTTGCCCAGGCTGGAGAGCAGTGACACAATCATAGCTCACTGCAGCCTCAAACTCGGGCTCAAGTGATCCTCCCACCTCAGAATCCCAAGTAGCTGGGAATATAGGTGCATGCTACCATGTCCAGCTAATTTTTTAAGTTATTTTGTAGAGACACGGACTCGCTGCATTGCCCAGGCTGGTCTTAAATTCCTGGCCTCAAGGGATCCTCACCTTCCTAAAGTGCTGAGATTACAGGTGTGAGCCACCATGCCTAGCTGCCATACTCTGTGTTTTAAGGCAAAAGCACACATATACCAGGACCGTTCACCTTGTGGAATTGTGACATCATATCTACAAAGCTGAGTTTTCAGTAATGTTATGATAATAAGCCAGACTGCGTAAGTATCCCTGTGGAAGAGGAAATGAACACTGCAATGTCTAATTTGATTCCAAGTTTTGAGAAGTTCTGAGGTATCCAGTGAATGCATGAATTCTATTAGCAAACAATGAAATAATTTTGTTTTAATGTTTGCATACTTTTATCAAAGGATACCACCTTTTTAGAAGACAAATCTTTATTAAGTAGTTTGGACCTAGCTTGTTAATGCAATGCAGCCGTTATTTATATATATATATAGATAGATATATAAATACAATCTATTATTATATTACATATTATATTAATTATATATTATATATATTTTATATTAATTATATTATATATTATATATTATATAATATAATATATATAATATCTATTATATATATTATATATTATATATAATATCTATTATATATAACAGATATTATATATATTATTTATAATATAATATAATATATATAATAGATATTATATATAATATAATATAATATATGTAATAGATACTATATATAATATAAAATAATATATATAATAGATATATAATAGATAGTATATATATAATATATATAATAGATATAATAGATAGTATATATATAATATATATAATAGATATAATAGATAGTATATATATAATAGATATAATAGATATAATAGATAGTACATATATAATATATATAATAGATATAATAGATAGTATATATATAATAGATATAATAGATATTATATATATAATATATATAATAGATATAATAGATATTATGTATATAATATATATAATAGATATAATAGATATATATATAATAGATATAATAGATATAATAGATATTATATATATAATATATAATAGATATAATAGATATTATATATATAATATATAATAGATATAATAGATATTATATATAATATATATAATAGATATAATAGATATTATATATAATATATATAATAGATATAATAGATATATATAATATATATAATAGATATAATAGATATTATATATAATATAATATAATAGATATAATAGATATTATATATAATATATATAATAGATATAATAGATATTATATATAATATATATAATAGATATAATAGATATATATAATATATATAATAGATATAATAGATATTATATATAATATAATATAATATATATAATAGATATTATATATAATATAATATATAATATATAATAGATATTATATAGATAATATAATATATATAATAGATATTATATATAATATAATATAATATAATATATATAATAGATATTATATATAATATAATATAATATAATATATAATAGATATATAGATAATATAATATATATAATAGATTTATATAGATAATATAATATATATAATAGATTTATATAGATAATATAATATATATAATAGATATTATATAGATAATATAATAGATATAATAGATTTATATAGATAATATAATAGATATAATAGATTTATATAGATAATATAATAGATATAATAGATTTATATAGATAATATAATAGATATAATAGATTTATATAGATAATATAATAGATATAATAGATTTATATAGATAATATAATAGATATAATAGATTTATATAGATAATATAATAGATATAATAGATTTATATAGATAATATAATAGATATAATAGATTTATATAGATAATATAATAGATATAATAGATTTATATAGATAATATAATAGATATAATAGATTTATATAGATAATATAATATATATAATAGATTTATATAGATTATATAATATATATTATAGAATTATATATTATATGTAATATATCATAATATATAATCTATTATATATTATATGTAATATATCATAATATATAATCTATTATATATTATATAATATAATATATAATCTATTATTATATTACACATTATATCATATTATACATTATATATTATTATATAAAATATAATGTATAATATAATAAATAACAGCTGCATATAATATTATATATTTTTAATGACTTTTTAATGATCGCCATTCTAACTGTTGTGAGATGGAGTATCATTGTGGTTTTGATTTGCGTTTCTCTGATGGCCAGTGATGATGAGCACTTTTTCATGTGTCTTTTGATAAATGTCTTCTTTTGAGAAGTGTCTGTTCATATCCTTCACCCACTTTTTGATGGGGTTGTTTTTTTTCTTGTAAATTTGTTTGAGTTCATTGTAGATTCTGGTTATTAGCCCTTTGTCAGATGAGTAGATTGCAAAATTTTTCTCCCATTCTGTGGGTTGCCTGTTCACTCTGATGGTAGTTTCTTTTGCTGTGCAGAAGCTCTTTAGTTTAATTACATCCCATTTTTCAATTTTGGCTTTTGTTGCCATTGCTTTTGGTGTTTTAGACATGAAGTCCCTGCCCATGCCCATGTCCTGAATGGTATTGCCTAGGTTTTCTTCTAGGGTTTTTATGGTTTTAGGTCTAATATTTAAGTCTTTAATCCATCTTGAATAAATTTTTGTATAAGGTGTAAGGAAGGGATCCAGTTTCAGCTTTCTGCCTATGGCTCTCCAGTTTTCCCAGCACCATTTATTAAATAGGGAATCATTTTGCCATTTCTTGTTTTTGTCAGGTTTGTCAAAGATCAGATGGTTGTAGATATGCAACATTATTTCTGAGGGCTCTGGTCTGTTCCATTGGTCTATATCTCTGTTTTGGTACCGGTACCATGCTGTTTTGGTTACTGTAGCCTTGTAATATAGTTTGAAGTCAGGTAGCATGATGCCTCCAGCTTTGTTCTTTTGGCTTAGGATTGACTTGGTGATGCGGGCTCTTTTTTGGTTCCATATGAATTTTAAAGTAGTTTTCTCTAATTCTGTGAAGAAAGTCATTGGTAGCTTGATGGGGATGACATTGAATCTATAAATTACCTTGGGCGGTATGGCCATTTTCACGATATTGATTCTTCCTACCCATGAGCATGGAATGTTTTTCCATTTGTTTGTATCCTCTTTTATTTCATTGAGCAGTGGTTTGTAGTTCTCCTTGAAGAGGTCCTTCACATCCCTTGTAAGTTGGATGCTTAGGTATTTTATTCTCTTTGAAGCAATTGTGAATGTGAGTTCACTCATGATTTGGCTCTCTGCTCGTCTGTTATTGGCATATAAGAATGTTGTGATTTTTGCACATTGATTTTGTATCCTGAGACTTTGCTGAAGTTGCCTATCAGCTTAAGGAGATTTTGGACTGAGACGATGGTGTTTTCTAGATATACAATCATGTCATCTGCAAACAGGGACAATTTGACTTCCCCTTTTCCTAATTGAATACCTTTTATTTCCTTCTCCTGCCTGATTGCCCTGGCCAGAACTTCCAACACTATGTTGAATAGGAGTGGTGAGAGAGGGCATCCCTGGCTTGTGACAGTTTTCAAAGGGAATGCTTCTAGTTTTTGCCCATTCAGTATGATATTGGCTGTGGGTTTGTCATAGATAGCTCTTATTATTTTGAGATACGTCCCATCAATACCTAATTTATTGAGAGTTTTTAGTATGAAGGATTGTGGAATTTCGTCAAAGGCCTTTTCTGCATCTATTGAGATAATCATGTGCTTTTGTCATTGGTTCTGTTTATATGCTGGATTACGTTTATTGATTTGTGTATGTTGAACCAGCCTTGCATCCCAGGGATGAAGCCCACTTGATCATGGTGGATGAGCTTTTTGATGTGCTGCTGGATTCGGTTTGCCAGTATTTTACTGATAGTGTCATGGTAATGTCTTCTCTATAAGTAGATATCATTCTACTTCTCTTTGCTCTCGTATATACAGGTTTTGGCTGTTAAGAGTAACAGCCAAAATCACAATTACTTTTGCACCAATCTAATAATTTTGGTTTATAAAGTTGAATTAATTTTTGCTATATTGTATACATAGTCCTGTTACATGTTTTCTGTGACTGGCTTTATGTATTTAAAGTTCTTTATTGCCATCATTAATATTTTCGTCCTGAATTCTGCCTTTTTTAAATTTTTTTTTTGAGACTGGGTCTCACTCTGTCACCCAGAGTAGAGTACAGTGGCACGATCTCAGCTCACTGTAACCTCTGCCTCCCAGGCTCAAGCGATTCTCCTGCTTCAGCCTCCCCAGTAGTTGGGATTACATGCACGTGCCATCACACCTGGCTAAGTTTTGTATTTTTAGTAGAGACGGGGTTTCACTATGTTGGCCAGGGTAGTCTCAAACTCCTAACGTCAAATTATCCACCCGCCTGTGTCTCCCAAAGTGCTGGGATTAGAGGCATGAGCCACCGCACCAGGCTGAATTCTGTGTTCCTTAGAATAAGAATAGAAAAGCATTCGTTCTTGTATTATGTATCTTTGATGGCATATATTTTTCATCCCTTTAATTTCAGTATTTCAGAGTTACTTCGCTTCAGGTATGCATGTTGGATACATTATTGAAATGAATTTTGCTTTGTGAGCCAATTTGCGGTGTTTTATTTAATAGGTGGCAATCTCATCCACATTTATTTACATAACATTTGCTTGATTTTAATTCTATCATGACATTTTTTGTTATGATAATTTTGATCCTTCTGTTATAGTCATTGTTTTCCTTCATGTGGTTTGTTCTCTTTCTGTAGTGTTCTTATTGTTCTAGAATTTAGAAAATTTATATTTTTGTTTTGCTGACCGTATGTATACTAATAACATTTACAATGCTTTTATTCTTTTTCCCTGCCTTAAATTTTTAATGTCGCGTTTTTCAGCTATAAAAAATATCCTTGGACCCCTTATTTAAAAGCCTATGAGCTTCTTCTCCTTTTCACTTTCCCCTCTCTTCTCCTTTCACATATTTAGTTATGTTATTTATACCTTGTCAATATGTGTATCAATTAAAAATTGATTACCACCTTTGTCTCCATTTTTAATCTTTGATATATAATTAAATATATAAATAAATATGTAAATATATTTGAAATATAAATATATATTTAGGTAAAAAGAAATATATACTTATGAATGCATATATAAAATAATTATATTTTATTAAAAATTAAATTTTTGTACATTTTGTTAACATTCCCAGAGTCATCAATTAGTTGGATGAAGCTCATTTTCTAGTAAATTTCTCAGGAGGATTCTGAGTGCAGTGCTCTTTGTATTTTTGCAAGCTCGAAGGCTTTCTATAGACTTATTTCTTGAAGGACAGTGATGATAAATATAAAGTCCTTGGCTCACACATTAGTTTATTGAATTCCTTCTTGAATAAAGAGGTCTGAAAAAAAAACCGATTTTTTTTTTCTGAGTAAACTTGGGACTTTTGCCTGAAAGTCCTAAACACGATTTCTTTCATCTTTATTTTCTGGCAATTTTAATAGAATCCATCTTGGAGTTAATGTGTCTAGGGCAATATTCACAGATGTTCCACCTTTTTAAATATACAGATTCAAGAATTCTTTGATTTCTAGTGTGTGTTCTTAGATTATACTTTACATACTACTCTCTTGAATTGTTTTATTTTGTTTTTCACAGAATCCAAAGATAGATATAAATGTGCATGTGTTTGTGTATGTGTGTGTACATATCTGTGTGTGTTTGTGTGTAAGAGATAGAATGAAGACCATGAGAATAAAATATCAGAAAAAGGAAAGAAAAAAATATAAGAGAAAATATTAGATAAAAGACATTTAAATTCAAATTTATCATATTTGAAAATGATTGTATAGGATGTCTAGTTCATATTGTTCATTTTGGAGTATTGTGTTTGCTTTGTAGTTGTTTCTGATGGGAGTGGGTGCAT